>NW_021160026.1:0-300000 GCF_000001405.40 Homo sapiens
TATCACATGGTAAGCGGGATGTCACTCAGGCCACGGGTAAATTATTTACAAGACTTTTTCTTATCAAAGATCATTAAAATTTAGACCTAAAGGGAAACCTTGCCCCAAGGAAATTTCCAAAGGATCAAAAATACAGAAGTTTTAGTTTGGGAAGAAGGTGTGTGGCCAATAGTGTGGTGATATTACAAAACAATGAATTCCGAACTGTAATAGATTGGGCACCTCGAGGTCATTTCTACCACAATTGCTCAGGACAAACTCAGTCATGTCCAAGTGCACAAGTGAGTCCAGCTGTGATAGCGACTTAACAGAAAGTCTAGACAAACATAAGCATAAAAAATTACAGTCTTTCTACCCTTGGGTATGGGAGAAAAAGGAATCTCCACCCCACGACCAAAAATAAATAAGTCCTGTTTCTGGTCCTGAACATCCAGAATTGTGGAGGCTTACTGCAGCCTCATACCACATTAGGATTTGGTCTGGAGATCAAACTTTAGAAACAAGAGATCGTAAGCCATTTTATACTATCTACCTAAATTCCAGTCTAACAGTTCCTTTACGAAGTTGTGTAAAGCCCCCTTATATGCTAGTTGTAGGAAATATAGTTATTAAACCAGACTCTCAAACTATAACCTGTGAAAATTGTAGATTGTTTACTTGCATTGATTCAACTTTTAATTGGCAACACCGTATTCTGCTGGTGAGAGCAAGAGAAGGCGTGTGGATCCCTGTGTCCATGGACCGACCATGGGAGGCCTCGCCATCCATCCATATTTGACTGAAGTATTAAAAGGCGTTTTTAAATAGATCCAAAAGATTCATTTTTACTTTAATTGCAGTGATTATGGGATTAATTGCAGTCACATCTATGGCTGCTGTGGCAGGAGTTGCATTGCACTCTTCTGTTCAGTCAGTAAACTTTGTTAATGATTGACAAAAAAATTCTACATGATTGTGGAATTCACAATCTGGTATTGATCAAAAATTGGCAAATCAAATTAATGATCTTAGACAAACTGTCATTTGGATGGGAGACAGACTCATGAGCTTAGAACATCGTTTCCAGTTACAGTGTGACTGGAATACATCAGATTTTTGTATTACACCCCAAATTTATAATGACTCTGAGCATCACTGGGACATGGTTAGACGTCATCTACAGGGAAGAGAAGATAATCTCACTTTAGACATTTCCAAATTAAAAGTACAAATTTTCAAAGCATCAAAAGCCCATTTAAATTGGTGCAGGAACTGAGGCAATTGCAGGAGTTGCTGATGGCCTCGCAAATCTTAACCCTGTCACTTGGGTTAGGACCATCGGAAGTAGTACGATTGTAAATCTCATATTAATCCTTGTGTGCCTGTTTTGTCTGTTGTTGGTCTGCAGGTGTACCCAACAGCTCGGAAGAGACAGCGACCATCGAGAACGGGCCATGATGACGATGGCGGTTTTGTCGAAAAGAAAAGGGGGAAATGTGGGGAAAAGCAAGAGAGATCAGATTGTTACTGTGTCTGTGTAGAAAGAAGTAGACATAGGAGACTCCATTTTGTTCTGTACTAAGAAAAATTATTCTGCCTTGAGATTCTGTTAATCTATGACCTTACCCCAAACCCGTGCTCTCTGAAATATGTGCTGTGTCAAACTCAGGGTTAAATGGATTAAGTATTGTGCAAGATGTGCTTTGTTAAACAGTTGCTTGAAGGCAGCATGCTCCTTAAGAGTCATCACTACTCCCTAATCTCAAGTACCCAGGGACACAAAAACTGCGGAAGGCCTCAGGGACCTCTGCCTAGGAAAGCCAGGTATTGTCCAAGGTTTCTCCCCATGGGATAGTCTGAAATATGGCCTTATGAGAAGGGAAAGACCTGACCGTCCCCCAGCCCGACACCCGTAAATGGTCTGTGCTGAGGAGGATTAGTATAAGAGGAAGGCATGCCTCTTGCAGTTGAGACAAGAGAAAGGCATCTGTCTCCTGCCCGTCCATGGGCAATGGAATGTCACGGTATAAAACCCGATTGTACGTTCCATCTACTGAGATAGGGAAAAACCGCCTTAGGGCTGGAGGTGGGACATGCGGGCAGCAATACTGCTTTGGAAAGCATTGAGATGTTTATGTGTATGCATATCTAAAAGCACAGCACTTGATTCTTTACCTTGTCTATGATGCAAAGACCTTTGTTCGCGTGTTTGTCTGCTGACCCTCTCCCCACTATTGTCTTGTGACCCTGACACATCCTCCTCTCGGAGAAACACCCACAAATGATCAATAAATACTAAGGGAACTCAGAGGCTGGCGGGATCCTCCATATGCTGAACGCTGGTTCCCTGGGTCCCCTTATTTTTTTCTCTATACTTTGTCTCTGTGTCTTTTTCTTTTCCAAGTCGCTCATTCCACCTAACAAGAAAAACCCACAGGTGTGGAGGGGCAACCCACCCCTTCAGAATTCTATGTGAGGGAGAAAATTCAGACCCCAGCAGCAGTCTTCTGGAATCCGACATGAGGGACAATCACTCAGACACTCGTATCAGTGTTCTGCAATTCTGTGTGAGGACGAACATTCAGACCACAACAGGGATGTTCTGGAATCCTATGTGAGGGACAAACATTCGGACCCCAGATGTAGTGTTTTCGAATACTATGTGTAGGACAAACATTCAAACAACGGCGGGAGAATTATGGAATTCTATGTTTCGGACAAACATTCAGACCCTCGTAGCATTGTTCTGGAATCCTATGTGACAGACTAACATTTAGACCCTGCAGCAGTGTTCTAGAAACTTATGTGATGGACATGCATGTAGACCCCAGCAGCAGTGTTCTGGAATCCTATGTGATTGACAAATGTTCAGACCCCCGCAGCAGTGTTCTGGAATCGTATGTGATTTGCAATCATTCAGACCCTCATAGCAGTGCTCTGGAATTCTGTGTGAGGGACAAGCATTCAGACCCTTTTAGAAGTTTTCTGGAATCCTATGTGAGGGACAATCATTCAGACCCCTGCAGCAGTGTTCTGGCATCGATGTAAGGGACAATCATTCAGACCCACACAGCACTGTTCTGGAATTCTGCTTCAGGGCCAACATTCAGACCACAAAAGGAGTGTTCTGGAATCACCTGTGAGGAACAAACTTTCAGAACCCCGTAGCAGTTTTCTGGAATCCTATGTGTCAGACAAACATTTAAACCCCAGCAGCAGTGTTCTGGAATCTTATATGAGGGAGAAATATTCAGACAATCGTAGCAGTGTTCTGGAATCCTGTGTGATGGACAAACTTTCTGATCCAAGCAGCAGTGTTCTGGAATCCTATGTGAGGGACAAACATTCAAACAACAGCGGGAGTGTTCTGGAATCCTATGTTACAGACAAACATTCAGGTTCTCGTCACAGTGTTCTAGAATTCTCTGTGAGGGAGAAACACTCAGAACCCAGCTGCAGTGTTCTGGAATCCTATGTGGTGGACATACATGTAGACCCCAGAAGCAGTGCTGTGGAATGCTACGTGAGGAACAAACATTCAGACCCCAGCAGCAGTGTTCTGGAATATTGCTTGAGGGACAATCATTCAGACCCTCGTAGCAGTGTTCTGGAGTCCAGTGTGAGGGACAAATATTCAGATCACAACAGGAGTATTCTGGAATCCCCTATGAAGAACAAACATTCAGGCTATCGTAGCAGTGTTCTGGAATCCTATGTGACTGACAAACATTGAGACCCCAGCAGCAGTGTTCTGGAGTGCTATATGAGGGACAAACCTTCAGACACTAGTAGTAGTGTTCTGGAATCCTATGTGAGGGACTAACACTCAGAACCCAGCAGCATTTTTCTGGGTCCCTATGTGAGGGACAAATACTTGGAACACAGCTTCAGTGTTTTGCCATTTTATGTGAGGGACAAACATTCAGACCCTCATAGAAGTGTTCTGGAATCCTATGTGAGGGACAAACTTTCCGACAATTATAACAGAGTTCTGTAATCCTACGTTAAGGACAAATATTCAGACACTCGTAACAGTGTTCTGGAATCGTATGTGAGGGACACACATTCAGACAATCGTAGCAGTGTTTTGGAATCCTATGTGAGGGACAAACATTCAGAAGCCAGCACAAGTGTTCTGGAATCTTCTGTGAGGGAAAAACATTCAATCAACAGTGGGAGTGTTCTGGAATCCTATGTTATGGACAAACATTCAGACGCTCATCGCAGTGTTCTGAAATTGTATGTGAGGGAGGAACACTGAGAACCCAGCAGCAGTTTTCTGGAATCCTATATGATGGATGTACTTGTAGACCCCAGCAGCAGTGTTCTAGAATCCTATGTGAGGGACAAACATTCAGACCTTCATCGAATTGTTCTGGAATCCTATAAGAGGGACAAACACTCAGAAACCAGCAGCAGCATTCAGGAACCCTATGTGAGGGACAAACATTCAGACAACAGCAGGATTGTTCTGGACTCCTATGTGAGTAACATACACTCAGAAAACAGCAGGAGTGTTTTGGAATCCTATGTAAGGGACAAACATTCAGATCCTCATAGCAGTGTCCTGGATTTCTGCGTGAGGGACAAACATTCAGACCTCCATAGCAGTGTTCTGGAATCCTATGTTAGAGAGAAACATCCAGACCACAGCAGGAGTGTTCTGGAATCTCCTGTGAGGAACAAACATTCAGACTCCCCTAACAGTGTTCTGAAATCTTATGTCACTGACAAACATTTAGACGCCAGCAGCAGTATTCTGGAATGCAATGTGAGGGACAAATATTGAGACCCTTGTAGCAGTGTTCTGGTATCCTATCTGAGAGACAAACTCTCAGAACCAAGCAGCGGTGTTCTGGAAAATTATGTAAGAGATAAAGATTCAGACCAGATCTGGTATGCTCTGGAATTCTATGTGAGGAACAAGCTCTCAGAATACTGCAGGAGTGTTTTGGAATCCTATGTGAGGGACAAACATTCAGACCCTCGTAGCAGTGTTCTGGAATCCCATGTGATTGACATTCAGACCACAGCAGGAGTGTTCTGGAATCCCCTGTGAGGATCCAACATTCAGACCCCTGTAGCAGTGTTCTGGAATCCTAAGTGAGAGACAAACATTTAGACCCCAGCAGCAATGTTCTGGAATCCTATGTGAGGGACAAACATTCAGACCCTCGAAGCAGTGTTCTGGAATCCCATGTGTGGGATAAACATTCAGACAATAGTAGCAGTGTTCTGTAATCCAATGTGAGGGACAAACCTTCAGACCCTCGTCGGAATGCTTTGAATCCTATGTGAGGGACAAACACTGAGACAATCAGTACTATTCAGGAATCCTCTGTGAGGTACAAATTTTTAGAGCACAGCAGAAGTGTTCTGCAATCCTATTTGAGGGACAAACATTCAAACAACAGAGGGAATCTTCTGGAATCCTATGTTACGGACCAACATTCAGACCCTCGTTGCAGTATTCTGGAATTCTATGTGAGGGAGAAACACGTAGAACCTATCAGCTGTGTTCTGGAATCCTGTGGGAGGGACATACATGTAGACACCAGCAGCGGTGTTCTGGAATCCTATGTGAGGGACAAACATTCAGAACCGAGCAGCAGTGTTCTGGAACTCTGTATGAGGGACAAACATTAAGAACACGGCAGGATTGTTCTGCAATCCTATGTGAGGGAGAAACACTCTGAAAACCGTAAGAGTGTTTTGGAATCCTACATGAGGGCCAAACAATCAAACCCTCATAGCTGTGTTCCGGAATCCTATGTGAGGGGCAAACACTCAGACAATCGTAGCAGTTTTCTGGAATCCTTTGTGAGGGACAAGCATTCATTCCCTCGTAGCGGTGTTCGGGAACCCTGTATGAGGGACAAACATTCAGACCACACCGTTCTGGAATCCCCTCTGTGGGAAAAACATTCAGACCCTCGTGGCAGTGTTCTGGAATCCTATGTGATGGACAAAGATTTAGACCACAGCAGCAGTGTTCTGAAATCCTATGTGAGGGACATTCAGACCCTCTTAGCAGTTTTCTGGAATCTTATGTGAGGGACAATCATTCAGACCTCAGCAGGAGTGTTCTGGAAAACCCATGTGAGGGACAAACACTCAGACTACAGCAGGAGTGTTCTGGAATCCCCTGTGAGGGACAAACATTCAGACTGTCGTAGGGGTGTTCTGGAATCCTATGTGACGAACAAACATATAGAATCCAGCAGCATTGTTCTGGAATCCTATGTAGGAGACAAACATTCAGACAATAGTAGCAGTGTTCTGGAATCCTATGTGAGGGGCAAACATTCAGACCACAGCAGCAGTGTTCTGGAATCCTATGTGAGGGACAAACATTCAAACAACAGCGAGAGTGTTCTGGAATCCTAAGTTATGGACAAACACTCAGACCCTCGTGGCAGTGTTCTGGAATTCTATGTGATGGAGAAACACTCAGAATCCAGCAGCAGTGTTCTGGAATCCTATATGACGGAGATACACGTACACCCCAGCAGCAGTGTCCTGGAATCCTATGTGAGAGACAAACTTTCAGACCCCAGGAGCAGAGTTCTGGAATCCTACATGAGGGATAAACATTCAGACCCTCTTAGCAGTTTTCTTAATCACTATGTCAGGGACAAAGATTCAGACCTCAGCACCATTGTTCTGGAATCCTACATGAGGCTCAAACATTCAGACCCTCGTTGCAGTCTTCTGGAATCCTGTGTGAGAGACAATCATTCAGACAACAGCAGGAGTCTTCTGGAATTCCCTGTGAAAAATAAACACTCAGATCCTCCTAGCAGTGTTCTGGAAACCTATATGACGGACAAACATTTAGACAACTGAAGCAGTGTTATGGAATCACATATGAGAGACAGACATTCAGAAACTTGTACCAGAGTTCTGGAATCCTTTGAGAGGGACAAACATTCAGAACCCAGCAGAAGTGTTCCGGAATCCTATGTGAGGGACAAGCATTCAGACACTGGTAGCAGTGTTCTGGAATCCTATGTGAGAGACAAACACTCCGAACCCAGCAGCATTGTTCTGGAACCCTATGTGAGGGAAAAACATTCATACCACAGAAAGATTGCCCTGGAATCCTATGAGAGGGACAAACACTCAGAACACAGCAGGAGTGTGTTGGAATCCTATGTGAAGGAAAAACATTGAGACCCTCGTAGCAGTGTTCTGGAATCCTATGTGAGGGACAAACATTCAGAGCACAGAAGGAGTGTTCTGGAATCCTATGTGAGGGACAAACATTCAGATCCTCGAAGCAGTGTTCTGGGATCTAATGTGAGGGATAAACATTCAAATAACAGCGGGAGTGTTCTGAAATCCTGTGTTACGGACAAACATTCAGACCATCGTGGCAGTGTTCTGGAATTCTATGTGAGGTAGAAACATTCAGAACACAACAGCAGTGTTCTGGAAACCTATGTGACGGACATACATGCAGACCCCTGCAGGGGGGTTCTGGAATCCTATAATGTGAGGGACAAACATTCAGAACACAGCAGCAGTGTTCTGGAAACCTATGTGACGGACATACATGCAGACCCCTGCAGGGGGGTTCTGGAATCCTATGTGAGGGACAAACATTCAGAAGCCTGCAGCAGTGTTATGGAATCTTATGTGAGGGACAATTATTCAGACTCTCGTAGCAGTGTTCTGGAATTCTGTGTGAGGGTAAAACATTCAGAAACTCATAGCAATTTTCTGAAATCCTATGTGAGGGACAAACATTCAGAACACAGCAGGAGTGTTCTCAAATCCTCTGTGAGGGAAAATCATTCCGACCCTCGTAGCAGTGTTCTGGAATCCTGTGTGAGGGACAAACATTCAGACCCCAACAACAGTGTTCTGTAATCCTATGTGTTGGACAATCATTCAGAACCCCATAGCAGTGCTCTGGAATTCTGTGTGAGGGACAAATATTCAAGCTGTCATTGCAGTGTTCTGGAATCCCGTGTGAGGGACAAACATTCAGACAACAGCAGGATTGTTCTGGAATCCTATGTGAGGGACAAGCATTCAGACAATCGTAGCAGTGTTCTGGAATCCCATGTGAAGGACAAACATTCAGACCTTCATAGCAGTGTTCTGGAATGGTATGTGATGGACAAACATTCAGACAATCGTAGCATTGTTCTGGAATCCTATGTGAGGGACAAACATTCAGACACCAGCAGCAGTGTTCTGGAATCCTATGTGAGGGACAAACATACAAACAACAGCTAGAGTGTTCTGGAATCCTATGTTAGGGACAAACATTCAGATGCTCGAAGCAGTGTTCTGGAATTATATGTGATGGAGAAACAGTCAGAACCCAATAGCAGTGTTCTGGAATCCTATGTGACGGACATGGATGTAGACCCCAGCAGCAGTGTTTTGGAATCCTATGTGAGGGACAGTCATTCAGACCCTTGTAGCAGTGTTCTGGAATTCTGTGTCAAGCACAAACTTTCAGACCTTCATAGCAGTGTTCTGGAATCCTATGTGAGGGACAGTCATTCAGGCCATAGCAGGAGTGTTCTGTAATCCCCTGTGAGGAACAAACGTTCAGACAGTCGTAGCATTGTTCTGGAATATTATGTGAGGGACAAACATTCAGACAATTGTAGCAGTGTTCCGGAATCCTATGTGAGGGACAAACATTCAGACAATTGTAGCAGTGTTCTGGAATCCTATGTGAGGGACAAACATTCAAACAACAGAGGGATTGTTCAGGAATCCTATGTTATGGACAAACATTCTGACCCTCGTAGCGGTGTTCTGGAATTCTATGTGAGGGAGAAACACTCAGAACCCAACATCAGTGTTCTGGAATCCTATGCGACGGACATACCTGTAGACCCCAGCAGCTCTATTCTAGAATCCTATGTGAGGGACAAACATTACGACCCCAGAAACAGTGTTCTGGAATCCTATGTGAAGGAAAATCATTCAGACACTCGTACCAGTGTTCTGGAATTCTGTGTGAGGGACAAACATTCTGATTCCCGTAGCAGTGTTCTGTAGTCCTGTGTGAGGGAAAAACATTGAGACCACAGCAGGAGTGTTCCAGAATCCCCTGTGAGGAACAGACATTCAGACCCTCATAGGAGGGTTCTGGAATCCGGTGTGACGGACAAAAATCTAGACCCCAGCAGCAGTGTTCTGGCATCCTATGTGAGGGACAAACATTCAGATCCTTCGTAGCAGTGTTCTGGAATCCTATGTGAGGGACAAACACTCAGAACCCTGCAGCAGTGTTCTGAAACCCTATGTGAGAGATAAATATTCCGACGACAGGAGGATAGTTTTGCAATCCTATGTGAGGGACAAACACTCAGAAAACAGCAGGAGTGTTCTGGAATCCTAAATGAGGGACAAACACTCAGAAAACAGCAGGAGTGTTCTGGAATCCTAAATGAGGGACAATCATTCAGATCGTCATAGCAGTGTTCTACAATTTTGTGTGAGGGACAAACATTCACACCCCAGCAGAAGTGTTGTGGAATCCTAAATGAGGGACAAACATTCAGACCCTCGTAGGAGTGCTCTGGAATAGTGTGTGACGGAGAAACTTTTAGACCCCAGCAGCAGTGTTCTGCAATCCTTTGTAAGGTAAAAACAATCAGACCCTCACAGCTGTGTTCTAGAATCCCATGTGATGGACAAACACTCAGAACCAAGCAGCAGTGTTCTGTAACTATATGTGAGGGGCAACCATTCAGAACACAGCAGGATTGTTCTGGAATCCTACATGAGGGACTGACACTCAGAGCACAGCAGGCGTGTTTTGGAATCCTATGTGAGGGACAAACATTCTCACACTCATAGCAGGGTTCTGGAATCCTACGTGAGTGGCAAACATTCAGACAATCTTAGCAGTGTTCTGGAATACTATGTGAGGGACAAACATTCAGACACTCGTAACAGTGTTTTGGAATACTATGTTGCAGACAATCATTCGTATGCTCGTAGCAGTGTTCTGGAATCCTGTGTGAGGGACAAACATTCAGACCACAGCAGGATTGTTCTGGAATCCCCAGTGAGGAACAAATGTTCAGACCTTCATAGCAGTGTTCTGGAATTCTATGTGACGGACAAACATTTAGACCCCAGCAGCGGTGTTCTGAAATCCTATGTTAGTGACAAACATTCAGACCCTTGTAGGAATGTTCTGGAATCTATGTGAGGGACTTGCTTTAAGACCACAGCAGGAGTGTTCTGGAATCTCATGTGAGGTACAAGCATTTCCACCCTCATAGCTGTGTTCTGGAATCCTATGTGATGAACAAACATTTAGACCCCAGCAGCAGTGTTCTGGAATCCTATGTGAGGGAAAAACATACAGACCATCATAGCAGTGTACTGGAATCCTGTGTGAGGGACAAACATTCAGACAATCGAAGCAGTGTTCTGGAATCCTAAGAGAGAGACAAATATTCAGAACACAGAAGGATTGTTCTGGAATCCTATGTGAGGAACAAACACTCAGAACACAGCAGGAGTGTTGTGGAATCCTATGTGAGGGACAAACTTTGAGACCCTCGTAGTAGTGTCCTGGAATCCTACGTGAGGGACAAACATGCAGACAATTGTAGCAGTGTTCTGGAATCCTATGTGATCGACAAATCTTCGAACAACAGTGGAAGTGTTCTTGAATCCTATGTTATGGACACACATTCAGAACCTTGTGGCAGTGTTCTGGAATTCTATTTGAGAGAGAAACATTCAGAGCCCAGCAGCAGTTTTCTGGAATCCTATGTGATGGACATACATGCAGATCACAGCAGCAGTGTTCTGGAATCTTATGTGAGGGACAAACATTCAGAACCCAGCAGCAGTGTTATGGAATCCTATGTGAGGGACGATCATTCAAACCCTAGTAACATTGTTCTGGAATTCTGTGTGAGGGAAAAACATATAGACCCTCATAGCAGTGTTCTGATAGAGTGTGTGAGGGACAAACATTTAGAACACAGCAGGAGTGTTCTTTAATCCCCTGTGAGAAACAGATATTCAGACCCCCGTAGCAGTGTTCTGGAATCCTATGTGTCGGAGAAACATATAGACACCAGCAGCAGTGTTCTGGGATCCTATGTGAGGGAAAAACATTCAGACACTCTTAGCAGTGCTCTGGAATCATATGTGAGAGACAAACATTAAGACCACAGCAGGAGTGTTCTCGAATCCTATGTGTGGGACAATCATTCCGACCCTCTTAGCAGTGTTCTGGGATTCTATGTGAGGGACTAACATTCGGACAGTCATAGCAGTGTTCTGGAATCCTATGTGAAGGACAAATCTTCAGACCCCAGAAGCAGTGTTCTTGAATCCTATGTTAGCGACAAACGTTCATGCAACAGCGGGAGTGTTCTGGAATCCTATGTTACAGAGAAACTTTCAGACCCTCCTAGCAGTGTTCTGGAATCCTTTGTCAGGGACAAACATTAAGACAACTGCAGGAATGTCCTGGAATCCCCAGTGAGGAACATTCAGATTCTCGCCGCAGTGTTCTGGAATCCTATGTGAGTGACAAACATTCAGACCCTTGTAGCAGTGTTCTGGAATTCTATGTGACAGACTAACTTTAAGACCACAGCAGGAGTGGTCTGGAATCCTATGTGAGGTACAAACATTCAGACCCTCGCAGCAATGTTCTGGAATGCTATGTGAGGGACAAACATTCAGAGCCTTGTAATAATGTTCTGGAATCTTATGTGTGGAACCAACATTCAGAACCTCCCAGCAGTGTTCTGGAATACTATGTATGGGACAAACACTCAGACTTTCGTAGCAGTGTTCTGGAATCCTACGTGAGGGACAAACATTCAAGCAACAGGGGGAGTGATTTGGAGTCCTATGTTTCGGACAAACATTCAGACGCCATCAGCATTGTTATGGAATCCTATGTGAGGGACAAACATTCAGACCCCAGCAGCAGTATTCTGGAATCCTATGTGAGGGAAAATCATTCAAACACGCGTAGCAGTGTTCTGGAATCCTGTGTGAGGGACAATCATTCAGATCACAGCAGGAGTGTTCTGGAATCCCCAGTGAGGAACAAACATTAGACACTCCCAGTGGTATTCTGGAATCCTATGTGACGGATAATCATTCTGACACTCGTAGCAGTGTTCTGGAATCCTATGTGAATGACAAACATTCAGAAAATCTTAGCAATGTTCTGGAATCCTATCTGAGGGACAAACATTCACACTACAGCAGGATTGTTCTGGAATCCTATGTGAGGGAAAAACACTCAGAACACGGCTGGAGTGATTTTTATCCTATCTGAGGGAGAAACATTCAGACCGTCGTCCAGTTTTCTGGAATCCTATGTGAGTGAGAACCATTCAGACGATCGTAGCAGTGTTCTGGAATCTTATGTAGAGACAATCCTACAGACAATCGTAGCAGTGTTCTGGAATCTTATGTAGAGACAATCCTTCAGACAATCGTAGCAGTTTTCTGGACTCCTGTGTTAGGGACAAATATTCAGACCCTCGTATGGGTGTTCTGGAATCCTATACGTGGGACAAACATTCAGACAATCGTAGCAGTGTTCTGGAATCCTGTGTGAGGGACAAACATTCAGACCACAGCCGCAGTGTTCTGGAATCCTATGTGAGGGACAAACATTCAAACAACAATGGGAGTGTTCTGGAATCCCATGTTACTGACAAACATTCAGACCCTCGTCACAGTGTTCTGGAATTCCATGTGAGGGAGAAATACTCAGAACCCAGCAGCAGTGTTCTTTAATACTATGTGTCAGACATACATGTAGACCCCAGCAGCAATGTTCTGGAATCCTATATGCGGGACTAACATTCAAACGCCTGGAACATTGTTCTTGAATCTTATGTGAGGGACAATCATTGAGACCCTCCTAGCAGTGTTCTGGAATTCTGCGTGAGGGACAAACTTTCAGACCCTCGTAGCAGTGTTCTGGAATCCTATGTGACAAACATTTAGACCCCAGCAGCAGTGTTCTGGAATCCTATGTGAGGAACACACATTCAGACCCTCGTAGCACTGTTCTGGAATCCTATTAAGGGACAAATACTCAGAACCCAGCCGCAGTGTCCTGAAAGCCTATGTGAGTGACAAACATTCAGACCACAGCAGGATTGTTCTGGAACCCTATGGGTGGAACGAACACTCAGAACACAGCAGAAGTGTTTTTGAATCTTATGTGAGGGATAAATGTTCAGATCCTCGTAGCAGTGTTCTGGAATCCTATGTGTGGGGGAAACATTCAGATAACAACAGGAATGTTCTGGAATCCGATGTGAGGGACAAAAACTCAGACGCCAGCAGCAGTGTTCTGGAATCTTATGTGAGGGACAAACATTCAAACAACAGAGGGAGTGTTCTCGAATACTATGTTACGGAGAAACATTCAGACTTTCGTCTCAGTTTACTGGAACTCTATGTGAGGAAGAAACACTTAGAACCAAGCAGCAGTCTTTGGGAGTCCTGTGTGATAGACATACATGTACATCACAGCAGCAATGTTCTGGAATCCTATGTGAGGAATAAATATTCAAACGCTCATAGTGGTATTCTGGAATCCTGTGTGAGGGACAAACATTCAGAGAATTGTAGCAGTGTTCTGGAATCCTATGTGAGGGACAAACATTCAGACAATCGTAGCAATGTTCTGGAATCCTATGTGAGGGACAATCATTCAGACCCTCGTGGCTGTGTTCTGGAATCCTAAGACAGGGAAAAACATTCAGACAATCATAGCAGTGTTCTGGAATCCCATGTGAGGAAAAAACATTCAGACCCTCCCAGCAGTGTTCTGGAATCCTATGTGAGGGACAAACATTCAGACAAACGAAGCAGTGTTCTGGAAACATATGTAAGGGAAAAACATTCAAACAACAGCGAGATTGTTCTGGAATCCTATGTTACGGACAACCATTAATAATCTCTTCACAGTGTTATGGAATTCTATGTGAGGGAGAAACACACAGAACCCAGCAGCAGTGTTTTGGAATCCTATGTGACTGATATACATGTATACACCAGCAGCAGTGTTCTGGAATCCTATGCGAGGGACAAATATTTGGACCCCAGTAGCTGTGTTCTGGAATCCTATGTGTGGGACAATCATTCAGACCCTGGAAACAGTGTTCTGGAATTCCGTGTGAGACACAAATATACAGACCACAGCAGGAGTGTTCTGGAATCCCCCGTGAGGAATAGACATTCAGAACCTTGTAGCAGTGTTCTCGAATCCTATGTGATGGACAAACATTTAGACCCTAGCAGCAGTATTCTGGAATCCTATGTGAGGGACAAACATTCAGACTCTCACAGCAGTGTTCTGGAATCCTATGTGAGGGACAAACATTGAGAGAATTGTAGCAGTGTTCTGGAATCCTGTGAGAGGGA
The DNA here is from genome assembly GCF_000001405.40 of Homo sapiens. NCBI lineage: Eukaryota > Metazoa > Chordata > Mammalia > Primates > Hominidae > Homo > Homo sapiens. Next base: position 14,380 of record NW_021160026.1, read on the forward strand.
CAAACACTCAGAACCCAGCAGCAGTGTTCTGGAACCCATGTGAGGGACTCACATTCAGACCACAGCAGGATTGTTCTGGCATCCTATGTGAGGGACAAACACTCGGAACACAGCAGGAGTGTTTTGGAATCCTATGTGCGGAACAAACATTCAGAACCTCGTGACAGTGTTCGGGAATCCTATGGGAGAAACAAACATTCAGAACACAGAGGGAGTGTTCTGGAATCCTATGTGAGGAACAAACATTCAGACCCCCGTAGCAGTGTTGTGGAATCCTATGTGAAGGACAAACCTTCAGACAATCGTAGCAGTGTTTTGGAATCCTATGTGCGGAGCAAACATTTAGAACCTGGTGGCATTGTTCAGGAATCCTATGGGAAGAACTAGCATTCAGAACACAGCAGGATTGTTCTGGAATCCTATGTGAGGAACAAACATTCAGAACCCCATAGCAGTGTTTTGCAATCCTATGTGAAGGACAAACATTCAGACAATCGTAACAGTGTTCTGGAATCCAATGTGAGGGACAAACATTTAATATACATGGTGGAGGTTCTGGAATCCTATGTTACGGACAAACATTCAGAACCTCGTCGCAGTGTTCTGGAATTCTACGTGAGGGAGAATCATTCATAACACTGCAGCAGTGCTCTGGAACCCTACGTGTGGGACAAACCTTCAGATCACAGCAGGATTGTTCTGGAATCCTATGTGAGAGACAAACATTCAGACAATCGTAGCAGTGCTCTGGAATCCTCTGTGAGGGACAAACATTCAGAACCCAGCAGCAGTGTTCTGGAATCCAATGTGAGGGACAAACATTCAAAAAACGGTGGGTGGGTTCTGGAATCCTATGCTATGGACAAACATTCAGTACCTCGTCACAGTGTTCTGGAATTCTATCTCAGGGAGAAACAGTCAGAACTCAGCAGCAGTGTTTTGGAATCCTATGTGATGGACATACATATAGACCCCAGCAGCAGTGTTCTGGGATCCTATGTGAGGGACAAACATTCAGACCTCAGCAGCAGTGTTCTCGAATCCTACCTGAGGGACAATCATTCAGACCTTCATAGCAGTGTTCTGGAATCCTAAGTGTAGGACAAACATTCAGACAATCGTAGCAGTGTTCTGGAAATCTATGTGAGGGGCAAACATTCACACCCTCTTAGGAGGGTTCTGGAATCCTATGTGAGGGACAAACATTCAGACAATCGTAGCAGTGTTCTGGAATCCTCTGTGAGGGACAAACATTCGGAACCCAGCAGCAGTGTTCTGGAATCCAATATTAGGGACAAACGTTTAAACAACGGGGGGTGGGTTCTGGAATCCTATGTTATGGACAAACATTCAGAACCTCGTCGCAGTTTTCTGGAATTCTATGTCAGGGAGAAACAGTCAGAACCCAGCAGCAGTGTTTTGGAATCCTATGTGACGGACGTACATATAGACCCCAGCAGCAGTGTTCTTGGATCTTATGTGAGGGTCAAACATTCAGACCCCCGCAGCAGTGTTCTCGAATCCTATGTCAGGGACAATCATGCAGACCCTCGTAACAATGTTCTGGAATCCTAAGTGTAGGACAAATATTCAGACAATCGTAGCAATATTCTGGAAATCTATGTAAGGGACAAACATTTAGACCCTCTTAGGACTGTTCTGGAATCTTATGTGAGGGACAAACATTCAGACAATCGTAGCAGTATTCTGGAAATCTATGTGATGGACAAACATTCAGACCCTCTTAGGAGTGTTCTGGAATCTTATGTGAGGGACAAACATTCAGACAATTGTAGCAGTGTTCTGGAGTCCTCCGTGAAGGACAAACATTCGGAACCCAGCAGCAGTGTTCTGGAATCCAATGTGAGGGACAAACATATAAATCACGGGGGGGAGTTTTCTGGAATCCTATGTTACGGACAAACATTCAGAACCTCGTCGCAGTGTTCTGGAATTCTATGTCAGGGAGAAACAGCCAGAACACAGTAGCAGTGTTTTGGAATCCTATGTGACGGACACACATATAGACCTCAGCAGCAGTGTTCTGGGATCCTATGTGAGAGACAAACATTCAGCACCTCGTCACAGTGTTCTGGAATTCTATGTCAGGGAGAAACAGCCAGAACCCAGTAGCAGTGTTTTCGAATCCTATGTGACAGACACACATATAGACGCCAGCAGCAGTGTTCTGGGATCCTATGTGAGAGACAAACATTCAGACCCCAGCAGCAGTGTTCTTGAATCCTATGTGAGGGACAATCATTCAGATCCTCGTAGCAGTGTTCTGGAATTCTGTATGAGATACAATCATTCAGACCCTCGTAGCAGTGTTCTGGAATCCTAAGTGTGGGAAAAATATTCAGACAATAGTAGTAGTGTCCTGGAAATCTATGTGAGGGACACACATTCAGACCCTCTTAGGAGTGTTCTGGAATCTTATATGAGAGACAAACATTCAGACAATCGTAGCAGTGTTCTGGAATCCTCTGTGAGTGACAAACATTCGGAACCCAGCAGCAGTGTTCTGGAATCCAATGTTATGGACAAACATTCAGAGACTCCTCGCGGTGATCTGGAATTCTATGTGATGGAGAAACACTGAGAAACCAGCAGTATTGTTCTGGAATCCTATGTGACGGACATACATTTAGACAAGAGCAGTAGAGTTGTGGAATCCTATATTGGGGCAAACATTCAGTCCCCAGCAGCATTGTCCTGTAATCCTTTGTGAGGGACAAACATTCAGAACCCAGCAGCAGTGTTCTGGAATCCTATGTGAGGCACCATCATTCAGACCCTCGAAGCAGTGTTCTGGAATTCTGTGTGAGGGGCAAACATTCAGACCCTCGTAGCAGTGTTCTGCAATCCTGTGTGAGGGACTATTATTCAGATGATGGCAGGAGAGTTCTGGAATCCCCTGTGAGGAACAAACATTCAGACCCTCCTAGCAGTGTTCTGTAACCCTATTTGAGGGACAGATATTCAGATGACAGCAGGGTTGTTCTGGAACCCTATGTGGGGGACAATCACCCAGAACACATCCGTAGTGTTTTGGAATCCTATCTGAGGGACAAATATTCAGACCCTAGTAGCACTGTTCAGGAATCCTATGTGAGGGACAAACATTCAGACAATCGTAGCATTGTTCTGGAATCCTATGTGAGGGACAAACATTCAGACCCCAGCAACAGTGTTCTGGAATCCTATGTGGGGTTCAAACATTCAAACAACAGCGGGATTGTTCTGGAATCCTATGTTACGGACAAACATTCAGACCATCGTAGCAGTGTTCTGGTATTCTATGTGAGGGAAAAACACTGAGAACACAGCAGCAGTGTTCTGGAATCCGATGTGTGGGACAAACATTCAGACCCCAGCAGCAGTGTTCTTTAATCCTATTTGAGGGACAATCATTCAGACTCTCATAGCTGTGTTCTGGAGTTCTGCATGAGGGACAATCGTTCAGACCCACGTAGCAGTGTTCCGGAATTCTGTGTGATGGAGAAACATTCATTACTTCATAGCAGTGTTATGAAAGCCTATCTGTGGGACAAACATTCAGACCACAGCAGGAGTGTTCTGGAACACTAAGTGTTCTCAAATCCTATGTGAGGAATAAACATTCAGACCCTCGCAGCAATGTTCTGGAATCCTATGTGACGGACAAACATTTGGACTGCAGCAGCAATGTTCTGGAATCCTATGTGAGGGACAAACTTTCAGAAAATCGTTGCAGTGGTCTGGTATCCTAGGTGAGGGACAAACATTCAGAACCCAGCAGCAGTGTTCTGGAATCCAATGTGAGGGACAAACATTCAAGCAACAGAGGGAGTGTTTTGCAATCCTAGGTAAAGGACAAATATTTAGACAACAGGAGCAGTGTTCTGGAATCCTGTGGGAGGGACAAACATTAGGACCCTCAGTATAGTGTTCTAGAATCTTATGTGAGAGAAAAACATTGAGACAATCATAGCAGTGTTCTAGAATCCTTTGTGACGGACAAATATTTAGACCCCAGCAGCATTGTTCTGGAATCCTATGTGAGTGACGAACATTAAAATCACAGCGGGAATGTTCTGGAATCCTTTGTTACGGGCAAACATTCAGATCCTTGTCGCAGTCTTCTTGAATTACATGTGAGGGAGAAACACTCAGAATCCACCAGCAGTGTTCTGGAATCCTGAGTGACAGACATACATGCAGACCTCAGTAGCAGTGCTTTGCGATCCTATGTGAGGGACAAACTTTCAGACGGCAGCAGCAGTGTTCTGGAATCCTGTGTGAGGGACAATCATTCAGACCCTCGTAGCTGTGTTCTGGAATTCCGTGTGATGGACAAACATTCAGACCCTCATAGCAGTGTTCTGGAAACCTATGTGAGGGACAAACATTCAGACCACAGCAGGCATGTTCTGGAATCCTCTGTGAGGAAGAACCATTCAGACCCTCGTAGCAGTGTTCTGGAATCCTATATGACAGACAAACATTTAGACCCCAGCAGCAGTGTTCTGGAATCCTGTGTGAGGGACAAACATTCACACCCTCGGAGCAGTGTTCTGGAATCCTATAAAGGGACAAACACTCAGAACCCAGCAGCCGTGTTCTGGAACTATATGTGAGGGACAAACACTGAGAACACAGCAGGATTGTTTTGGAATGCTATGTGACGGAGAAACATTCAGGCACTCGTAGCAGTGTTCTGGAATCCTAAGTGAGGGACAAACATTCAGACAATCGTAGCAGTGTTCTGGAATCCTATGCTAGGGAAAAACATTCAGACCCCAGTAGCAGTGTTCTGGAATCCTATGTGAGGGAAAAACATTCAAACAACAGCGGGAGTGTTCTGAAATAGTATGTTACTGACAAACATTCAGACCCTTGTCACAGTGCTCTGGAATTCAAAGTGAGGGGGAAACACACAGAACCCAGCAGCTGTGTTCTGGAATCCTGTGTGACGGACATACACATAGACCCCAGCAGCGGTGTTCCGGAATCCTATGTGACGGACAAACATTCAGACTCCAGCAGCAGTGTTCTGGAATCCTCTGTGAGGGACCATCATTCAGACTCTCGTAGTAGTGTTCTGGAATTCTGCGTGAGGGGCAAACATTCAGACCATCGTGGCAGTGTACTGGAATCCTGTGTGAGGGATAGTCATTCCGAACACAGCAGGAGTATTCTGGAATCCCCTGTATGGAAAAAACATTCAGACCCTCGCAGCAGTGTTCTGGAATCCTAGGTGAGGGACAAACATTTAGACCCCAGCAAAAGTGTTCTGGAATCCTGTGTGAGGGACAAACATTCAGACTTTCATAGCAGAGTTCTGGAATCCTATCTGAGGGGCAAACACTCAGAAACCAGCACCAGTGTTCTAGAACCCGATGTGAGGGACAAACATTCAGACCACAGCAGGATTGCTTTGGGATCCCATGTGTGGGAAAAACAGAAAACAGCGGGAGTGTATTGGAATCCTATGTGAGGGACAAAATATTCAGACCCTCTTTGCAGTGCTGTGGAATCCTATGTGAGGGGCAAACTTTCAGAAAATCACAGCAGTGGTCTGGAATCTTATGTGAGAGACAAACATTCAGAACTCAGCAACAATGTTCTGGAATCTTATGTGAGAGACAAACATTCAGAACTCAGCAACAATGTTCTGGAATCTTATGTGAGAGACAAACATTCAGAACTCAGAACCAATGTTCTGGAATCCTATGTGAGAGACAAACATTCATACAACAGCGAGAGTGTTCTGCAATCCTAGGTAATGGACAAACATTTAGAAACCAGCAGCAGTGTTGTGGAATCCTATGAGAGGCACAAACATTCAGACCTTAGTAGAGTTATTCTGGAATCCCATGTGAGGGACAAACATTCAGAACCTCGTCACAGTTTTCTGGAATTCTGTGTGAGGCAGAAACACTCTGAACCCAGAAGCAGTGTTCTGGAATCCTCTATGACAGACACACATGTAGACCTCAGCAGCTGTGTTCGGGAATCCTACGTGAGGGACAAGCATTCAGACCGCAACAGCATTATTGTGGAATCCCAAGTCAGGGACAATCATTCAGACCCTCGTAAGAGTGTTCTGGAATTTTGTGTGAGAGACAAACATTCAGACACTCATAGCGGTGTTCTGGAAAGCTATGTGAGGGAGAAACATTCAGACAACAGTAGGCGTGTTCTGGAATCCCCTGTGAGGAAAAACATTCATACCCTCGTAGCAGTGTTCTGGAATCCTATGTGATGGACAAACATTTAGACCCCATCAGCAGTGTTCTGGAATCCCGTGTGAGCAAAAAACATTCAGACGCTAGTAGCAGTGTTCCGGAATCCTATGTAGGAACAAACACTCAGAACCCAGCAGCACTGTTCTGGAACGCTATGTGAGGGACAAAGATTCAGACCACAGCAGGATTATACTGGAGTCCTATGTGAGGGACAAACACTCAGAACGGAGCAGGAGTGTTTTGGAATCCTATGTGTCAGACAAACATTCAGACACTCATAGCAGTGTTCTGGAATCCAATGCAAGAGACAAACTTTCAGACCACAGCAGCAGTGTTGTGGAATCCTCTGTGAGGAACAAACTTTCAGAATATCGTAGCAGTGTTCTGGAATCCTATGTGAGGGACAAACATTGAGATCCCAGCAGCAGTGTGCTGGAATCCTATGTGAAGGACAAACATTCAAACAACAGCGGGAGTGTTCTGGAATCCTAACAAGTAGACACATTTAGACACCAGCAGCAGTGTTCTGGAATCCTATGTGAGGAAAAACATATTCAGACCCTCGTAGGGTTATTCTGGAATCCTATATGAGGAACATATATTCAGACCCTCGTAGGATTATTCTGGAATCCTATGTGATTCAGACACCAGGAGCAGTGTTCTGGAATCCTATGTGTGAGACAAACATTCAAACAACAGTGTGAGTGTTCACGAATCCTATGTGACGGACAAACATTCAGACCTTCCTCTCAGTGTTTGGAATTCTATGTAAGGGAGAAACACTCAGAACCCAGCAGGAGTGCTCTGGAATCCTATGTGACGGACATACATGTAGACCCCAGCAGCAGTGTCCTCGAATCTCATGTGAGGGAGAAACATTCAGACCCCAGGAGCAGTGTTCTGGAATCCTATGTGAGGACAATGATTCAGGACCTCGTAGCAGTGTTCTGGTATTCTGTGTGAGGTACAAACTTTCAGACTCTCTTACCACTGTTCTGCAATCATGTGTGAGGGAAAAACATTCAGACCCACAGCAGGAGTGTTCTGGAATCACCTGTGAGGAACAAACATTCAGATCCTCCTAGCAGTGTTCTGGAATCCTGTGTGACGGACAAACATTTAGACGCCAGCAGCAGTGTTCTGGAATCCTAATTGCGGGACAATCATTCAGACCCTTGTAGCCGTGTTATGGAATCCTTTGTGAGGGACAGACATTTAGAACCCAGCGACAGCATTCTGGAACACTATGTGAGTGAGAAACATTCAGACCACAGCAGGATTGCTCTGGAATCCTATGTGAGGGACTAATATTCAGACCTTCGTAGCAGTGTCCTGGAATCCTAAGTGAGGGACAAACATTCAGACAATCGTAGCAGTGTTCCAGAATCCTATGTGAGGGACATTCATTCAGACGTTCGTAGCTGCGTTGTGGAATTCTGTGTAAGAGCCATATATTGAGATCCTCAAAGCCGTGTTCTGGAATCCTACGTGAGGGACAAACATTCAGACCACAGGAGGATTGTTCTGGAATCCTCTGTGAGGAAAAAACATTCAGACCCTCGTAGCAGTGTTCTGGAATCCTATGTGAGGGACGAACCTTTAGACCCCAGCAGCAGTGCTCTTGAATCCTACGTGAGGAAAAAACATTCAGACACTCGTAGCATTGTTCTCGAATCACATGTGAGGGACAAACATTCAGATAATCTTAGCCATGTTCTGGAATCCTATGTGAGGGACAAATATTCAGACCCCAGCAGCGTTCTGGAATCCTATGTGAGGAACAAACATTCAAACAACAGCGGGAGTGTTGTCGAATCCTATGTAACAGACAGACTTTCAGAACCTCGTCGCAGTGTTCTGGAATTCTGTGTTAGAGAGAAACACTCAGAAACCAACAGGAGTGTTCTGGAATCCTATGTGATGGACATACATGTAGACGCCAGCAGCAGTGTTCTTGAATCATATGTGAAGACAAACATTCAGATCTCAAAAGCAGTGTTCTGGAATCCTCTGTGAGGGTCAATCATTCAGACCCTTGTAGCAGTGTTCTGGAGATGTTTGTGAGGGAGGAAGCTTCAGACCCCCATAGCAGCGTTCTGGAAGCCTATATGAAGGACAAACATTCGGACTAGAGCAGGATTGTTCTGGAATCCAATGGGAGGAACAAATATCCGGACCCTCGTAGCATAGTTCTGGAATCCTATGTGACGGACCAACATTTAGAGCCCAGCAGCAGTGCTCTGGAACCTCAAGTGAGGGACAAACATTCAGACACTCAGTGCAGTGTTCTATAATCCTATATGAGGGACAAACATTGAAACAATCGTAGTAGTGTTCAGGAACCTATGTGACGGACAAACATACAGACCCCAGCAGCAGTGTTTTCGAATCCTATGTGGGGGACAAACATTCAAACAACAGCAAGAGTGTTCTGGAATCCTCTGTTACAGAGAAACATTCAGATCCTCGTCGCAGTGTTCTGGAATTCTAACTGAGGGAGAAACACTCTGAACCCAGCAGCAGTGTTCTGGAACCCTATGTGACAGACATACATGTAGACCCCAGCAGCAGTGTTCTGGAATCCTATGTGAGGGACAAATATTCAGACAGCAGCCGTAGTATTCTGGAATCCTATGTGAAGGATAGTCATTCAGACCCTCATAGCAGTGTTCTGGAATTCTCTGTGTGGGACAAACATTCAGACCCTCATAGCAGTGTTCTGGAATCCCCGGTGAGGAACAAACATTCAGAGCCTCATATCAGTGTTCTGGAATCCTATGTGACGGACAAACATTAAGTCCCCAGAAGCAGTTTTCTGGAATACTGTGTGAGGAACAAACATTCAGACCCTGGTAGTAGTGTTCTGGAATCCTATGTGAGAGACAAACACTCAGAACCCAACAGCAGTGTTTTGGAACCCTATGTGAGGGTCAATCATTCAGGCCACAGCAGGATTATGCTGGAGTCCTATGTGAGGGACACTCAGAACATAGCAGGAGTGTTTTGGAATCCTATGTGAGGGAAAAACTTTCAGACACTCGTAGCAGTGTTCTGGAATCCTATGTGGGAGACAAACATTCATACAATCTTAGCAGTGTACGGGAATTCTTTGCGAGGGACAAACATTCAGACCCCAGCAGCAGTGTTCCAGAATCCTATGTGAGCTATAAACATTGATACAACAGTGGGAGTGTTCTGGAATCCTATGTTATGGACAAACATTCAGACCCTCGTCACAGTGTTCTGGAATTCTATGTGAGGGAGAAACACTCAGAACCCAGCAACAGTGTACTGGAATCCTATGTGACGGACATACATGTAGACCCGAGCAGCAGTGTTCTGGAATACTATGTGAGGGACAAACATTCATAATACGGCAGGAGTGCCCTGGAATCCTATGTGAGGGAAAACATTCAGACAATCGTAGCAGTGTTTTGGAATCTTATGTGAGGGACTAACTTTCAGACCCCATCAGCAGTGTTCTGGAATCCTATATGAGGGACAAACATTCAAACTACAGAGGCTGTGTTCTGGAATCCTAAGTTATGGACAAAAATTCAGATCCTCTCCGCAGTGCTCTGGAATTCTATTTGAGGGAGAAACAATCAGAACCCAGCAGCAGTGTTCTCGAATCCTACATGAGGGACATACATTCAGACCACAGCAGCAGTGTTCTAGAACCCTATGTGAGGGACAAGCATTCAGACCGTCGTAGCAGTGTTCTCGAATTCTGTGTGAAGGACAAAGATTCAGACCATCAGAGCAGTGTTCTGGAATCCTTTGTGAGGGACAAACATTCAGACCACAGCAAGAGTCTTCTGGAATCCACTGTGAGGAACAAACATTCAGAACCTCATAGCAGTGTTCTGGAATCCTATGTGATGGACAAACATTTAGACCTCAGAAGCAGTGTTCTGTAATCCTGTGAGAGACAAACATTCAGACACTCGTTGCAGTGTACAGGAATCCTGTGTGAGGGAAAAGAACTCAGAACCCAGCAACAGTGTCCTGGAACCCTATGTGAGGGACAAACATTCAGGCCACAGCAGGATTGTTCTGGAATCCTACGTGAGGGACAAACACTCAAACACAGCGGGAGTGTTTTGGAATCCAATATGAGGGAGAAACATTCAGACCCTCATAGCAGTGTTCTGGAATCCTATGTGAGGGACAAACATTCAGAAAATCGTAGCCATGTTCTGGAATCTCAAGAAAGGGAAATAAATTCAGACCCCAGCAGCAGTGTTTTGTAATCCTATGTGAGGGAGAAACATTGAACCAAGATCGGGAGTGTTCTGCAATCCCTGGTTATGGACAAATATTCAGAACCTCGTCTCAGTGCTCTGGAATTCTATGTGAGGTAGAAACAGTGAGAACCCAGCAGCAGTATTCTGGAATCCTATGTGAGGGAAAATCATTCAGACCCCAGCAGGAGTGTTCTGGAATCCTATGGGAGGGACAATCATTCAGACAATCGTAGCAGTGTTCTGGAATCCTATGTGAGGGGCAAACATACAGACACTTGTAGCAGTGTTCTGGAATCCTATGTAAGTGACAAATATTCAGACCCTTGTAGCATTTTTCTGGAATCCTATGTGAGGGACAAACATTGAGACAATCGTAGCTGTGTTCTCGAATCCTATGTGAGGGAGAAACATTCAGACTACAACAGCAGTGTTCTGGAATCGTATGTGAGGGACAAACATTCCAACAACAGAGTAAGTGTTCTGGAATCCTAAGTTACGGACATACATTCAGAAATTCGTCTCAGTGATCTGGAATTCTATGTGAGGGTGAAACACTCAGAAACCGGCAGCAATGTTCTTAAATCCTATGTGACAGACATACATGTAGACGGTAACAGCAGTGTCCTGTAATTCTGTGTGATGGAAAAACTTTCAGACACTCATAGCAGTGTTCTGGAATCCTATTTGAGGGACAAACATTCAGACCACAGCTGGAGTGTTCTGCAATCCCCTGTGAGTAACAAATATTCAGATCCTAGTAACAGTGTTCTGGAATCCTATGAGGGACAAACATTCGGATCCTCTTAGCAGTGATCTGGAATCCTATGTGAGGGTAAATCATTCAGAACCTAGTTGCGGTGTTCTGGAATCCTATATGAGGGACAAACATTCGGATCCTCTTAGCAGTGTTCTGGAATCCTATGTAACGGACAAACATTAAGACCCCAACTGCAACTGCAGTGTTCTGGAATCCCATGTGAGGGACAAGCATTCAGACCCTTGTAGCAGTGTTCTGGATTCCTATGTGAGGGAGAAACACTCAAAACCCAGCAACAGTGTTCTGGAACCCTATGTGAGGGACAAACATTCACACCACAGCAGGATTGTTCTGGAATACTATGTGAGGGACAAACACTCAGAACATAGCAGGAGTGTTTTGGAATCGTATGTGAGGGACAAACATTCGGATCCTCTTAGCAGTGTTCTGGAATCCTATGTGACGGACATACATGTAGAACCCAGCAGCAGTGTTCTGAAGGCCTATGTGAGGGACAAACATTCAGACCCCAGGAACAGTCTTCGGGAATCGTATGTGAGGGTAAATCATTCAGAACGTCGTAGCAGTGTTCTGGAATTCTGTGTGAGGGACAAACATTCAGACCACAGCAGCAGTATTCTGGAATCCTATGTGAGGGAAAAACATTCAAACAACTGCAGGTGTGTTCTGGAATCCTATGTGAGGGAAAAACATTCAAACAACTGCAGGTGTGTTCTGGAATCCTATGACAAGGAAAAACATTCAGACCCTCCTCGCAGTGTTCTTGAATTCTATGTGAGGGAGAAACACTCCGATTCCTGTAGCAGTGTTCTGGAACCCTATGTGACAGACCTACTTGTAGACTCCAGCAGCAGTGTTCTGGAACCCTATGTGAGGGACAATCATTCCGACCCTCGTGGCAGTGTTCTGGAATTTTGTGTGAGGGATAAACATTCAGACCCCAGCGCGAGTGTTCTGGAATCCCACGTGAGTGACAAGCATTCAAAAAATCTTAGCAGTGTTCTGGAATCCTATATGAGAGACAAACTTTCAGACCCTCGTAGCAGTATTCTGGAATCCTATGTGGGGGCAAACATTCAATCATAGCAGTGTTCAGGAATCTTATGTGAGGGACAAACATTTAGACTGTCGTAGCAGTGTTCTGGAATCCTATGTGAGGGACAAGCATTGAGACAATCGTGGCAGTGTTCTGGGATCCTATGTGAGGGACAAACATTCAGACAATCGTAGCAGGGTTCTGGAATCCTATGTGAGGGACAAACATTCAAAAAACAGAGAGAGTGTTCTGGAACCCTATGTTACGGACAAACATTCAGACAATCGTAGCAGGGTTCTGGAATCCTATGTGAGGGACAAACATTCAAAAAACAGAGAGATTGTTCTGGAACCCTATGTTACAGACAAACATTGAGACCATCGTTGCAGTGTTCTGGAATTCCCTGTGAGGGACAAAAACTCGGAACCCAGCGGCAGTGTTCTGGAATTCCCTGTGAGGGACAAAAACTCGGAACCCAGCGGCAGTGTTCTGGAATCCTATGTGAGGGACAAACATTCAGACTCCAGCAGCAGTGTTCTGGAATCCCATGTGAGGGACAATCATTCAGACCATCATAGCCGTGTTTTGGAATTCTGTGTGAGGGGCAAACATTCAGACCGTCGTAACAGTGTTCTGCAATCCTGTGTGAGGGAAAAACATTCCGACCACAGCAAGAGTGTTCTGGAATCCCCTGTGAGGAACAAACATTCCGACCCTCATAGCAGTGTACTGGAATCTTATCTGATGGACAAATATTTAGAACCCAGCAGCAGTGTTCTGGAATCCTATGTGAGTGACAAACACTCAAAACATAGCAGGAGTGTTTTAGAATACTATGTGAGGGATAAACAATCTGACCTTCACAACAGTGTTCTGGAATCCTGAGTGAGGGATAAACATTCAGACCCTGATAGCAGTGTTCTGGAATCCTATGTGAGGGACAAACATTCAGACCACAGCAGGACTGTTTTGGAATTCCCTTTGAGAAACAAACTTTTAGACCCTCATAGCTGTGTTCTGCAATCCTGTGTGTGGGACAAAATTTCAAAACCTCGTAGCAGTGTTCTGGAATCCTATGTGAGGTACAAACATTCAGACAATCGTAGCAGTGTTCTGGAATCCCATGTGAGGGACAAACATGCAGACCCTCGTAAGAGTGTTCTGGAATCCTATGTGAGAGACAAACATTCAGACAATCGTAGCAGTGTTCTGGAATCCAATGTTAGTGACAAACTTTCAGACCCCAGCAGCAGTGTTCTGGAATCCTATTTGAGGGACAACCATTCAGACACTTTCAGCAGTGTTCCAGAATCCTGTGTCAGGGACAAACATTTTGACCACTGCAGGACTCTTCTGGAATCCCTTGTGGGGAACAAACATTCAGACCCTCGTAGGTGTGTTCTGTAATCCTATGTGACTGACACACATTTAGACCACAGCAGCAGTGTTCTGGAATCCCATGTGAGGGACAAACATTCAGACACTCGTAGCAATGTTCTGGAGTCCTGTGTGAGGGACAAAAATTCAGGCCACACCAAGAGTGTATTGGAATCCCCTGTGAGGAACAAACATTTTGAACCTCCTAACAGTGTCTGGAATATTATCTGACGGACAAACATTTAGACCCCAGCAGCAGTATTATAGAATCTCATGTGAGGGACAATATTTCAGAACGTCATAGCAGTGTTCTGGAATATTATATGAGTGAAAAATATTCAAACATCCTCGGGAGTGTTCTGGAATCTTATGTCACGGACAAGCATTCAGACCCTCGTCGCAGTGTTCTGGAATTCTATGTGAGGGAGAAACACTCAGAACCCAGCAGCAGTGTTCTGGAATCCTATGTGAAGGACATACATGTAGACCATAGCAGCAGTGCTCTGGAATCCTTTGTGACAGACAAACATTCAGACCCCAGCAGCAGTGTTCTGGAATCCTGTGTGAGGGACAAACATTCAGACCCCAGCTGCAGTGTTCTGGTATCCTATGTGATGGACAGTCATAAAGACCCTCGTAGCAGTGTTCTGGAATTCTTTGTGAGGGACAAACATTCAGACACTCATAGCAGTGATGTGGAATCCCATGTGAGTGACAAACATTCAGACCACAGCAGAAGTGTTCTGGAATCCCCTGTGAGGAACAAACATTCAGACTCTCGTAGTAGTGTTCTGGAATCCTATTTGAAGGACAAACATTTAGGCCCCAGCAGCAGGGTCCTTGAATCCTATGTGAGGGACAAATATTCAGACCCTGGTAGCACTGCTCTGGCTTTCTTTCTGAGGGACAAACATTCAGTCCACAGCAGGAGTGTTCTGGAATCCTAAGTGAGGGACAAACATTCACACCCTCGTAGCATTGTTCTGGAATCCTATGTGAGGGACAAACATTCAAATAAATACTTGAGTGTTTTTGAATCCTATGTTACGGACAAACATTCAAACCCTCGTCGCAGTGTTCTGGAATTGTTTGTGAGTGAGAAACACTCAGAAACCAGCAGCAGTGTTCTGGAATCCTATGTTTCGGACATAAATGTAGACCCCAGCAGCAGTGTTCTGGAATCCTAAGTGAGGGACAAACATTCAGACCCTAGCAGCAGCATTCTGGAATCCTATTGAGGGACAAAAATTCTGACCCTCATCTCAGTGGTCTGGAATTCTAGGTGAGGAAGAAACTCAGACAATCGTAGCAGTGTTCTGGAATCCTATGTGAGGGGCAAACATTCAAACAACAGCGGGAGTGCTCTTGAATCATATGTTATGGACAAACACTCAGACCCTCGTAGCAGTGTTCTGGAATCCTATGAGAGGGACAAACATTCAGACCCTCCAGGTTTGTTCTGGAATCCTATGTGAGGGACAAATATTAAGAAAATCGTAACATTGTACTGGAATCCTGTGTGAGGGACAAACATTCAGTCCCCATTAGCAGTGTTCTGGATTCCTATGTGAGGGACAAACATTCCCACAACAGCGGGAGTGTTCTGTAATCCTATGTTACGGACAAACATTCAGACCCTCATCGCAGTGTTCTGGAATCCTATGTGAGGGAGAAACACTTAGAAACCAGCTGCAGTGTTCTGGAATCTTATGGGATGGACACACATGTAGACCCCAGCAGCATTGTTCTGGAATCCTGTGAGACGGACAAACATTCAGACCCCAGCAGCAGTGTTCTGGAATCCTAGAGTAGGGATAATCATTAAGATCCTGGCTGCAGTGTTCTGCAATTCTGTGTGAGGGACAAACATTCAGAGCCTCATAGGAGTGTTCTGGAATCCTATGTGATTGACAAACATTCAGACCACAGCAGGAGTGTTCTCGAATCCCCTGTGAGGAACAAATATTCAGACCCTCGTGGCAGTGTTCTGTAATCCTATGTGAGGGACCAACATTTAGACCACAGCAGCAGTGTTCTGGAATCCTATGTGAGGGACAAACATTCAAACAACAGCGGGAGTGTCCTTGAATCATATGTTACGGACAAACATTCAGACCCGCGTAGCAGTGTTCTGGAATCCTTTGAGAGGGACAAACATTCAAACAACTGCGGGAGTGTTCTGTAATCCTATGTTATGGACAAATATTAATATAATCGTAACATTGTTCTGGAATCCTGCGTGAGGGACAAACATTCAGTCCCCATTAGCAGTGTTCTGGATTCCTATGTGAGGGACAAACATTCAAACAACTGTGGGAGTGTTCTGTAATCCTATGTTATGGACAAATATCAGACCCTTGTCGCAGTGTTCTGGAATTCTATGTGAGGGAGAAACATTTAGAAACCAGCAGCACTGTTCTGGAATCCTATGGGATGGACACACATGTAGACCCCAGCAGCATTATTCTGGAATCCTATGAGACAGACAAACATTCAGACCCTAGCAACAGTGTTCTGGAATCCTAGAATAGGGATAATCATTCAGACCCTGGTAGCAGTATTCTGGAATTCTGTGTGAGGAACAAACATTCAGAGCCTCATAGCAGTGTTCTGGAATCCTATGTGATTGACAAACATTGACAACAGCAGGAGTGTTCTGGAATCATCTGTGAGGAACAAACATTCAGACAACAGCAGGAGTGTTCTGGAATCATCTGTGAGGAACAAACATTCAGACCCTCTTAGCAGTGTTCTGTAATCCTATGTGAAATCATCCTATGTGACAGACAAACATTTAGACCCCAGCAGCAGTGTTCTGGAATCCTATGTGAGGGAGAAACATTCAGACCCTCATAGCAGTGTTCTGGAATCCTACATGAGCGACAAACACACTGAAACCAGCAGCAGTGTTCTGGAACCCTATGTGAGGGATAAACATTCAGACCATGCCAGGATTGTTCTGGAAACCTATGTGAGGGACCAACACTCCGAACCCAGCAGAAAGGTTTTGAAATCCTGTGTGAGGGACAAACGTTTAGACTCTCGTAGCAGTGTTCTGGAATCATATGTGAGGGACAAATATACAGACCATAGCAGGAGTGTTCTGGAATCCTATGTGAGGGACAAACATTCAGACCCTCATAGCAGTGATCTGGAATTCTATGTGAGGGACAAACATTCAGACATTGGTAGCATTGTTCTGGAATCCAATGTGAGGGACAAACATTCTGACCCTCATAGCAGTGTACCAGAATCCTGTGTTAGGAACGAACATTCAGACCACAGCATTAGTGTTCTGGAATCCCCTGTGAGGAACAAACATAAAGACCCTCATAGTAGTGTTCTGGAATCCTATGTGACGGCCAAATATTTATACCCCAGGAGCAGTGTTCTGGAATCCTCAGTGAGGAAAACCATTCAGAATCTTGTAGCAGTTTTCTGGAATCCTATGTGAGGGACAAACATTCAGACCACAGCGGGATTGTTCTGGAATGATATGTGAGGGACAAACACTAAGAAAATAACAGGAATGTTTTGGAATCCTATGTGAGTGACAAAAATTCAGACCCTCGTAGTAGTGTTCTGGAATCGTATGTGAGGGACAAGCATTCAGACCACAGCAGGAGTGTTCTGGAATCCTATGGGAGGGACATACATTCAAACCCTAGTTAGCAGTGTTCTGGAATCCTATGTGAGGGAAAAGCATTCAGAGTTTTGTAGCAGTGTTCTGGAATCCTATGTGAGGGACAAACATTCAGACCCTCAAAGGAGTATTCTGGAATCCTATGTGAGGGACAAACATTGAGATAATCATAGCAGTGTGCTGGAATCCTATGTGAGGGACAAACATTCAGACCCCAGCAGCAGTGTTCTGGAATCCTATGTGAGTGATAAACATTCAAACAACAGCGGGAGTGTTCCATAATCCTATGTTACAGACAAATATTCACACCGTTTTCACAGTGTTCTTGAATCCTATGTGAGGGACAAACACTCAGAAATGAGCAGCAGTGTTCTGGAACCCTGTGTGAGGGTCAAAATTTCAGACCACAGCAGGATTGTTCTGTAATCCTATGTTACGGACAAACATTTAGACCTCAGCAGGAGTGTTCTGGAATTCTATGCGAGGCACAGTCATTCGTACCCTCGTAACAGTGTTCTGGAATTCTGTGTGAGGGACAAGCATTCAGAACGTCGTAGCAGTGTTCTGGAATCCTATGTGAAGGACAACCATTCAGACCACAGGAAGAGTGCTCTGGAATCCCCAGTGAGGAACAAACATTCAGACACTAGTAAAAGTGTTCTGGAATCCTATGTGACAGACAAACATTCAGACCCCAGCAGCAGTGTTCTGGAGTTTTATGTGAGGGAAAAACGTTCAGACAATCATAGCAGAATTCTGGAATCCTATGTGAGGGACAAACATTCAGACCTCAGCTGCTGCGTTCTGGAATCCTATGTGAGGGACAAACATTCATACAACAGTGGGAGTGTTCTGGAATCCTATGTTACAGGCAAATATTCAGACCCTCGTCCGAGTGTTCTGGAATTCTATGTGAGGGAGAAACATTCAGAACCCACCAGCATTGTTCTGGAATCCTATGTGACGGACAGACATGCAGACCCCAGCAGCATTGTTCTGGAATCCTATGTGACGGTCAGACATGTAGACCCCAGCAGCATTGTTCTGGACTCCTATGTGAGGGATGATCATTCAGACCCTCGTTGCAGTGTTTTGGAATTCTGTGTGAGTGAGAAACATTCAGACCCTTGTAGAAGTGTTCTGGAGCCCTTTGTGAGGGACAAACATTCAGACCACAGCAGGAGTGTTCTGGAATCCACCGTGAGGAACAAACATTCCGACCCTCGTAGCAGTGTTCTGGAATCCTAAGTGATGGATAAACATTTAGACCCAGTAGCAGTGTTCTGGAATCCCCAGTGAGGAACAAACATTCAGACAATCGTAGCAGTTTTCTGGTATTCTATGTGAGGGACAAACATTCAGACCCCAGCAGCAGTGTTCTGGAATCCTATGTGTGGGACATACATTCAGACCCTCGTAGGAATGTTCTGGAATCCTTTGTGAGGGACATGTATTAAGATAATCATAGCAGTGTTCCAGAATCCTATGTGAGGGACAAACATTCAGACCCCAGGAGCAGTGTTCTGGAATCCTATGTGAGGGAGAAACATTCAACCAACAGCGGGAGTGTTCTGAAATCCTATGTTAAGGACAAACATTCAGACCCTAGTTGCAGTGTTCTAGAATTCTATGTGAGGGAGAAACACTCAGAAACCTGCAGCAGTGTTCTGGAATCTAGGTGACGCCCATAAATCTACACCCCAGCAGCAGTGTGGTGGAATCCTATATGATGGACAAACATCCAGAACCCAGCAGCAGTGTTCTGGAATCCTATGTGAGGTACAAACATTCAGACCCCAGCAGCAGTGTTCTGGAATCCTATGAGAGGGACAATCATTCAGACCCTTGTAGCAGTATTGTGGAATTCTGTGTGAGGGATAAACATCCAGAAACTCATAGCAGTGTTCTGGAATGCTCTGTGAGGTACAAACATTCAGACCCTCGTAGCAGTGTTCTGGAATACTACGTGAGGGACAAACATTGAGACCTCATAGCAGTGTTCTGGAATCCTATGTGACAGACAAACATTTAGATGGCAGCAGCAGTGTTCTGGAATCCTATGTGAGGTACAAACATTCAGAACACTGCAGAAGTGTTCTGGAATCTCCTGTGAGGAAGAAACTTTTAGACCCTCATAAAAGTGGTCTGGATTCCGATGTGATGGACAAACATTTAGACCCCAGCAGCAGTGTTCTGGAATCCTATGTGAGAGACAAACATTCAGAACCTCGTAGCAGTGTTCTGGAATCCTATGTGAGGGACAAACCCTCAGAACTCAGCAACTGTATTCTGGAATCCTATGGAGGGACAAACATTGAGACCACAGCAAGATTGTTCTGAAATCCTATGTGGGGGACAAACACTTCGAACACTGCAGGAGTGTTTTGGAATCCTATGTGAGGGACAAACATTCAGAGCCTCGTAGCAGTGTTCTGGAATCCTATGTGAGGGAAAAACTATCAGACCACAGCAGGAGTGTTCAGGAATCCTATGTGAGGGACTAACATTTAGATAATCAAAGCCGTGTTCTGGAATCCTATGTGAGAGGCAAACATTCATACACTCATAGCAGTGTTCTGCAATCCTATGTGAGGGAAAAATATTCAGATCATCCTAGCAGTGTTCTGGAATCCTATGTGAGGGACAAATATTCAGATCATCCTAGCAGTGTTCTGGAATCCTATGTGAGGGACAAAAATGCAGACAGTCGTAGCAGTGTTCTGGAATCCTATGTGAGGGACAAAAATGCAGACAATCGTAGCAGTGTTCTGTTATCCTATGGGAGGGACAAAAATTCAGAGCCTCCCAGCAGTGTTCTGGAATCCTATGTGAGGGTCAGACATTCAGACAATCGTAGAGTGTTCTGGAATCCTATGGGAGGGATAAACATTCAAAAAACAGCGAGAGCGTCTGACATCCTACATTTCGGACAAACATGCATACCCTCGTCGCAGTGTTCTGGAATTTATGTGAGGGAGAGACACACAGAACCCAGCAGCAGTGTTCTGGATTCCTATGTGACGGACATACATGTAGACCCCAGCAGCAGCGTTCTGGAATCCTATGTGAGGGAAAAACATTCAGGCACCAGCAGCAGAGTTCTGGAATCCTATATGAAGGACAATCATTCAGACCCTCGTAACAGTGTTCTGGAATTCTGTGTGAGGGACAAACATTCAGACCACAGCAGGACTATTCTGGAATCCCCAGTGAGGAAGAAACATTCAGACCCTCGTAGCACTGTTCTTGAATCCTGTGTGATGGACAAACATTTAGACCCCAGCAGCGGTGTTCTGGAATCCTATGTGTGGGACCGTCATTCAGAACCTCGTAGCGTGTTCTGGAATCTGGTGTGATGCAGAAACATTCAGATCACAACAGTAGTGTTCTGGATCTGATGTGTCTACAAACACTCAGAACACAGCAGGAGTGTTTTGGAATCCTATATGAGGGAAAAACATTCAGACCCTCGTAGCAGTGTTCTGGAATCCTATCTAAGGGACAAACATTCAGACAATCGTAGGAGTGTTCTGGAATCCGATGTGAGGGACAAACATTCAGACTCTTGTATCAGTGTTCTGAAATCCTACGTGAAAGACAAACATTCAAACAATCGCAGCAGTGTTCTGGAATCCTATGTGAGGGACAAATATTCAGACCCTCGTAGCAGTGTACTGGAATCCTATGTGAGGGACAAACTTTCAGACCAGAGCAGCAGTGTCCTTGAATCCTGTGTGAGGGACAAATATTGAGATCCCAGCAGGAGTGTTCTGGAATCTTTTGTTAATGAGAAACATTCAGACTACAGCAGGAGTGTTCTGGAATCCTATGGGAGCAACAAACATTCAGACCCCAGCACCAGTGTTCTTTTGTCCTATGTGAGAAACAAAAATTCAGATGCTCGCAGCAGTGTTCTGAAATCCTATGTGAGGGAAAAACATTCAGAACCTCGTAGCAGTGTTTTGGAATCCTATGGGAGGACAAAAAATCAGACACTCCTACTAGTGCTCTGGAAACCTATGTGAGGGACAAACATTCAGACCACAGCAGGAGTGTTCTGGAATCGCCTGTGAGGGAGAAACATTCAGACCCTCATACCTGTGTTCTGGAATCCAATGTGACGGACAAAGATTTAGACCCCAGCAGCAGTGTTCTGGAATCCTATGTGATGGACAGACATTCAGACAATCGTAGCAGTGTTCTGGAATCCTATGCGAGGGACAAACATTCAGAACCCAGCAGCAGTGTTCTGGAATCCTATGTGAGGAACAAACATTCAAACAAACAACAGCGGGAGTGTTCGGGAATCTTATGTTACGGACAAACATTCAGACCATCATCGCAGTTTTCCGGAATTCTATGTGACGGAGAAAGACTCAGAACTCCGCAGCAGTGTTCTGGTATTCTATGCGATGGACATACATGCAGACCTCAGCAGCAGTGTTCTGGACTCGTATGTGAGGGACAAACATTCAGACCCCAGCAGCAGTCTTCTGAAATCCTACATGAGAGACAATCATTCAGCCCCTCGTTGCATTGTTCTGGAATTCTGTGTGAGGGAAAAACTTTCAGACAATCATGGCAGTGTTCCAGAATCCTACGTGAGGGTCAAACTTTCAGAACACAGAAGTAGTGATCTGGAATCCCCTGTGAGGAATAAACATTCAGAACCCTGTAGCAGTAACCTGGAATCCGATGTGACGGACAAACCTTTAGACCCCAGCAGCATTGATCTGGAATCCTATTTGAGGGACAATCATTCAGACCCTCTCAGCAGTATTCTGTCATCCTATGTGCGGGAGAAACATTCAGACCACAGTGGGGGTGTTCTGTAATAATATGTGACAAACATTTCGATCCTCACAGAAGTGTTCTGGAATATTATATGAGGGACAAAGGTTCAGACAATTGTAGCAGTGTTCTGGAATCCTACGTGAGGGACAAACATTCAGAACCTAGAAGCAGTGTTCTAGAATCCTATATGAGGGACAAACGTTCAAACAACAGCGGGAGTGTTCTGGAGTCCTATGTTATGGACAAACATTCAGACCCTAGCAGAAGTGTTCTGGAATCCCATGTGACAGACAAACACTCAAACAAGAGCGGGAGTGGTCTGGAATCCTAAGTTAGGATCATACATTCAGACCCCCGTTGCAGTGTTCTGGAATTCTATGTGTGGGAGAAACACTCAGAACCAGCAGCAGTGTTCTGGCATCCAATGTGAGGGACACACGAGTAGACTGCAGCAGCAGTGTTCTGGAATCCTATGTGAGGGACAAACATTCAGACCCCAGCAGCAGTGTTCTGGAATACTATATGAGGCACATTCATTCAGACCCTCGTTGCAGTGATCTGGAATCCTATGTGAGGGACAAACAGAACACAGCAGGAGTGTTTTGGAATCCCCTGTGAGGAACAAATATTCAGACCCTCGTCGCAGTGTTCTGGAATCCGATGTGAGGGACCAACAATCAGACAATCGTAGAAGTGTTCTGAAATCCTATCTGAGGGACAAACATTCAGACCCTTGTAGCAGTGTTCTGGAATCCTATGTGAGGGAGAAACATTCAGACAACCGTAGAACTGTTCTGGAATGTGAGTGACAAATATTCAGTCCCCAGCAGCAGTGTTCTGGAATCTTATGTGAGGGAAAAACATTCAAAAAACAGCGGAAGTGTTCTGGAATCCTACGTTAGAAACATAAATTCCAAGTATAATAATAATAAACGAAATAATATAACATAAAAAGAAACATACATTCAGACCCTCGATGCAGTGTTCTGGAATCTATGTGAGGGAGAAACACTCAGAACCCGGCCTCAGTGTTCTGGAATCCGATGTGAAAGACATACACATAGACTCCTGCAGCAGTGTTCTGGAGTCCTATGTGGGGGACAAACATTAAGACCCCAGAAGCAGTGTTCTGGAATCCTACGTGAGGGACAGTCAATCAGACCCTCGTAGTAGTGTTCTGGAATTCTGTGTGAGGGACAAACATTCAGACCCTCCTTGCAGTTTTCTGGAATTCAATGTGAGGGACAAACTTTCAGACCACAGCAGGGGTGTTGTGGAATCCCCGGTGAGGAACAAACATTGAGACACTCGTAGCAGTGTTCAGGAATCCTATGTGATGGACAATCATTTAAACCCCAGCAGCAGTGTTCTGGAATCCTATGTGAGAGAGAAACATTCAGACACTCGTAGCAGTGTTCTGGAATCCTATGTGAGGGACAAACACTCAGAACCCAGCTGCAGTGTTCTGGAACACTATGTTAGGGACAAACATTCAGACCACAGCAGGATTGTTCTGGAATTCTATGTGAGGGACACACATTCAGAAAACAGCAGGAGTGTTTTGGAATCCAACTTGGAGGACAAATATTCAGACCCTCGTAGCAGTGTTCTGGAATCCTATGTGAGGAGCAAACATTCACATAATCGTAGCAGTGTTCTGGAATCCTATGTGAGGGACAAACATTCAGAACTTCATAACAGTGTTCTTAAATCCAATGTGAGGGACAAACATTCAGACTGTCGTAGCGGTGTTCTGGAATCCTATGTGAGAGACAAACCCTCAGAACACAGCAAGAGTGTTTTGGAATCCTATGTGAGAGACAAATATTCAGATCCTCATAGCAGTGTTCTGGAATCCTATGTTAGGGACAAACATTCAGACTATCGTAGCAGTGTTCTGGAATCCTATGTGAGGGACAAATATTAAGACTATCATAGCAGTGTTCTGGAATCCTATGGGAAGGACAATCATTCAGACCCTCGTACCACTGTTCTGTAATTCCGTGTGAGGGACAAAGCTTTAAACCAAAGAAGGAGTGTTCTGGAATCCCCTGTGAGGAACAAACATTCAGACCCTCGTATCAGGGTTCTGGAATCCTATTTGACAGAGAAACATATAGACCCCAGCAACAGAGTTCTGGGGTCCAATGTGAGAAAAAAACAATCAGACCCTCGTAGCAGTGTTCTGGAATCCTATGTGGGAGACAAACATTCAGAGAATCGTAGCAGTTTTCTGGAATGCAATGTGAGGGAAAAACATTCAGACCCCTGTTGCAGTGTTCTGGAAACCTATGTGAGGGACACACATTCAGACCACTGCATGATTGATCTGGAATCCTATGTGAAGGACAAACACTCAGAACACAGCAGGAGTGTTTTGGAATCCTATGTGAGGGACAAACATTCAGAACCTCTTAGCAGTGTTCTGGAAACCTATGTGAGGGACACACATTCAGACCACTGCATGATTGATCTGGAATCCTATGTGAAGGACAAACACTCAGAACACAGCAGGAGTGTTTTGGAATCCTATGTGAGGGACAAACATTCAGACCCTCTTAGCAGTGTTCTGGAATCCTATGCGAGGGACAAACATTGAAACAATAACTGGAGTGTTCTGAAATCCTATGTTATGGACAAACATTCAGATCCTCATTGCATTGTTATGGAATTCTATGTGAGGGAGAAACACTCAGAAACTAACAGCAGTTTTCTGGCATCCTATGTGACAGACAAACTTTTAGACCCCAGCAGCAGTGTTCTGGAATCCTACCTGAGGGACAAACTTTGAGACCCCAGCAGCAGTGTTGTTGAATCCTATGTGAGGGACAAAAATTAAGACCCTGGCAGGAGTGTTCTGGAATCTTTTGTGAAAGACAAACATTCAGACACAGCAGGAGTGTTCTGGAATTGTATGTTAGCAACAAACATTCGCATTCTAGCAGCAGAGTTCTTTGGTCCTATATGAGGCACTAACTTCCAGACGCTCGTAGCAGTTTTCTGGAATCTTATGTGATGGAAAAACATTCAGAATCTCGTAGCAGTGCTTTGGAATCCTATTTGAGCACAAACATTCGGACCCCAGCAGCAGTGTTCTGGAATCCTATTTGAGGCACAAACATTCAGACCCTCGTAGCAGTGTTCTGGAATGCTATGTGATGGAGATCCATTCATACTACAGCAGCAGAGTTCTGGAATCTTGTGTGAGGGACAGACATTCAGACCACAGCCGGAGTGTTATGGAATCCTATATTAGGGACAAACATTCAGACCCTTGTAGCAGTTTTCTGAAACCCTATGTCAGAGAGAAACATTCGGACCTCAGCAGCAGCGTTCTAGAATCCTATATGAGGCACATTCATTCAGACCCTCGTTGCAGTGATCTGGAATCCTATGTGAGGGACAAACACTCAGAACACAGCAGGAGTGTTTTGGAATCCCCTGTGAGGAACAAACATTCAGACCCTCATAACAATGTTCTGGAATCCTATGCGAGGGACCAACATTCAGACAATCGTAGAAGTGTTCTGGAATCCTATGTGAGGGACAAACATTCAGACCCTGGTAGAAGTGTTCTGGAATCCTATGTGAGGGACAAACATTCAGAAAACCGTAGCAGTGTTCTGGAATCCTATGTGAGGGACAAACATTCAAACAACAGCGGGAGTGTTCTGGAATCCTATGTTAGGAACGTATATTCAAACCGTCGTTGCAGTGTTCTGGAATTCTAAGTGAGGGACAAACACTCAGAACCCAGCTGCAGTCTTCTGGAACCCTGTGTGAGAGACCAACATTCAGACAATCGTAGAAGTGTTCTGGAATCCTATGTGAGGGACAGTCATTCAAACACTCGTAGCAGTGTTCTGGAATCCTATGTGAAGTACAAATACTCAGAACCCAGCAACAGTGTTCTGGAACCCTATGTGAGATACAAACATTCCGACCACAGCTGTATTCTTCTGGAATCCTAAGTGAGGGACAAACCTTCAGACATTTGTAGCGGTGTTCTGGAATCCTACGTGAGGGACAAACATTCAGACAATCGTAGAAGGGTTCTGGAATTCTATGTGAGTGACAAATATTCAGAGCCCCGTAGCAGTGTTCTGGAATCCTATGTGAGGGACAAACATTCAGACCCCATCAGTAGTGTACTGGAATAACATGAGAGGGACAATCATTCAGACCCTCAGAGCAGTGTTCTGGAATTCTGTGTGATGGACATGCATTAGGTACCTCGTAGTAGTGTTCTGGAATCCTGTCTGAGGGACAAACGTTCAGACCACAGCAGGAGTGTTACGGAATCCCCTGTGAGGAAGAAACATTCAGACCCTCGTAGCAATGTTCTGGAATCCTACGTGATGGAGAAACATTTAGACCATAGCAGCAGTGTTCTGGAATCCTATGTGAGGTACAAACACTCAGAACCCAGCAGCAGTGTTCTGGAACCCTATGTGAGGGACAAACATTCAGACCACTGCAGGATTGTTCTGGAATCCTATGTTAGGGACAAACACTCAGAACACAGCAGGAGTGTTTTGGAATCCTATGTGAGGGACAAATTTTGAGACCCTCGCAGCAGTGTTCCAGAATCGTATGTGAGGGACAAACATTCAGACCCTCGGAGCATTGTTCTGGAATGCTATGTTAGGGACAAACATTTAGACAATCGTAGCAATGTTCTGGAATAATATGTGAGGGACAAACATTCAGACAGTCTCAGCAGTGTTCTGGAATCCTATGCGAGGGACAAACATTCAGACCTCAGCAGCAGTGTTCTGGAATCCTATGTGAGGGACAAACTTTAAAACAACAGCGAAAGTGTTCTGGAATCCTATGTTATGAACAAACATTCAGACCCTCGTCGCAGTGTTCTGGAATTCTATGTGAGGGAGAAATACTCAGAACCCAGCAGCAAGGTTCTGGAATCATGTGAAGGACATACATATAGACTCCAGCAGCATTGTTCTGGAATCCTATGTGAGGGACAAACATTCACACCCCAGCAGCAGCGTTCTGGAATCCTATATGAGGGACAATCATTCAGATGCTTGTAGCAGTGTTCTGGAATTCTGTGTGAGGGACAAACTTTCAGATGCTCATAGCAGTGTTCTGGAATTCTGTGTGAGGGACAAACTTTCAGACCCTCGTAGCAGTGTTCTGGAATCCTGTGTGAGGGACAAACTTTCAGATGCTCGTAGCAGTGTTCTGGAATTCTGTGTGAGGAACAAACCTTCAGACCCTCTTAGCAGTGTTCTGGAATCATATGTGTCGGACAAACATTTAGACCTCAGCAGCACTGTTCTAGAATCCTATGTGAGGGGCAATCATTCAGACACTCGCAGCGGTGTTCAGGAATCCGATGTGAGGGACAAACACTCAGAACCCAGCAGCAGTGTTCTGGAACCCTATTTGAGGGACAAACAGTCAGATCACAGCTGTATTGTTCTGAAATCCTATGTGAGGAACAAACATTCAGACATTCGTAACGGTGTTCTTGAATCCTACGTGAGGGACAAACATTCAGACGCCAGCAGAATTGTTTTGGAATCCTATGTAAGGGACAAACATTCAAACAACAGCGGGAGTGTTTTGGAATCCTATGTGTGGGACAAACTTTAAGACAACAGCAGGAGTCTTCTGAAATCCTATGTGAGAAACAAACATTTACAACACAGCAGCAGTGTCCTGGATTCCTATGTGAGGGGCAAATATTCAGAACCTCGTAGCAGTTTTCTGGAATCCTAGGAGAGGGACAAACTCTCACAACCCAACAGGGGTGTTCTGGGAACCTGTGTGAGGGAAAAGCATTCAGACAACAGCAGGAGTGTTCTGGAATCATATGTGAGGGAGAAACACTCATATCACAACAGGAGTGTTCTAGAATCCCCTGTGAGGGACAAACATTCAGACCCTGGTAAGAGTGTTCCGGAAACCTATGTGAGGGGTAAGCATTTAGTTCCTCCTAGCAGTGTTCTGGAATCCTATGTGGGGGACAAACAGTCAGACCACAACAGGAGTGTACTAGAATCCCCTGTGAGGGACAAACATTCAGACCCTTGAAGCAGTGTTCTGGAATACTAGTGAGGGACAAAGATTCAGACTAGAGCAGAATTCTTCTGGAATCCTATGTGAGGAACGGATATTTAGACCACATCAGGAGTGTTCTGGAATGCTATTTGAGGGACAAACATTCAGTCCCTCTTAGCAGTGTCCTGGAATCCTTTGTGAGGGCTAACCACTCAGAACCCAGCAGCAGTGTTCTGGAATCCTATGAGAGGGACAAACATTCATACCACAGGAGGAATGTTCTGGAATCCTATGTGAGAGACAGACATTCAGACCCTGGTAGCAGTGTTCTGGAATCCTATGTGAAGGCCAAACACTCAGAAACCAGCAGCAGTGTTGTGGAATCCTATGCGAGCGACAAACATTCAGATGCCAGAAGCATTGTTCTGGAATCCTATATGAGGGGCAAACATTCAGACCTAAGCAGGAGTGTTCTTTAATCCTATGTGATGGATAAACATTCAGACCCCTGCAGCAGTGTTCTGGATACTTATGTGTGGGAGAAACAGTCAGAAACCAGCAGAACGATTCTGGAATCCTCTGTGATGGACAAACATTTAGAGTCTAGAAGCATTTTTAAGCAATCCTATGTGAGGGAGAAAACATCCAGACCCCAGCAGAAGTGTTCTGGAATCCTTTTTGAAGGAATAACATTTAGTCCCCAGCAGCAGTGTTCTGGAATCCTATGTGAAGGACAAACATTCAGACCCTCCTAACAGTGTTGTGGAATCCTATGTGAGGGACAAACATACAGATCACAGCAGGAGGGTTATTGCGTCTTATGTGAGGGACAGCCAGAACCCAGCAGGGGTGTTCTGGAATCCTATGTGAGGGACAAATATACAGACCACAGCAGAAGTTTTCTGGAATCCTTTGTGCAGAACAAACATTCAGACCACAGCAAAATTTTTCCAGAATCCTATGTGAGGGACAAAGCTTCAGAACCTCTTAGCAGTGCTTTTGAATCCTATGTCAGGGACAAACTTTCAGACTCCTGTGGCAGTGTTTTAGAATTCGATGTGAAGGACAATCAAAACCCAGAGGCAGTGTTCTTGGATCTTATGTGAAGGACAAACATTCAGACTCTCTTAGCAGTGTTCTGAAATCCTATGTGAGGGAAATGTATTCAGACTCTCGTAGCAGTGTTCTGGAATCCGATGTGAGGGAGAAACATTCAGACCACAGAAGGAATGTTCTGGAATCCTATGTGAGTAACGTTCAGACCACAGCACGATTGTTCTGGAATCCCATGTGAGGTACAAACATTCAGACGCCAGCAGCAGTGTTCCGAAATCCTATTGAGGGAAAAACTTTTAGACTCATGTAGCAGTGTTCTGTAATCGTACGTGAGGGACAAACACTGAGAACCCAACAGCAGTGTTCTGGAATCCTTAGTGAGGAACAAACATTCAGACCACAGCAGGAGTCTCCTGGAATCCTTTGTGAGGGAGAATAATGCAGACCATCGTAGCAGTGATCTGGAATCCTATGTGAGGGAGAAACATTCAGACTCAAGTTGCAGTTTTCTGGAATCCTATTTGAGGGACAAACCCTCAGACTACAGCAGGAATATTTTAGAATCCCATGTTAGGGAGAAACATTCAGACCACAGCAGGATTGTTCCAGAAACCAATGTAAGGCACAAACACGGAGAACACAAGAGTGTTCTGGAACCCTATATGAGGGTCAAACATTCAGACCACAGCAGTAGTGTTCTGGAATCCTATGTGAGGGAGAATAATTCAGATGGTCATAGCATTGCTCTGGAATCCTATGTGAGGGACAAACATTTAGAACCCAGTAGCAGCGTTCTGGAATCCTATGTGAGGGACAAACATTTAGAACCCAGTAGCAGCGTTCTGGAATCCTATTTGAGGGACAAACACTCAGAACACTACAGGGATGTTTTGGAATCCTATGTTAGGGAGAAACATTCAGATGACCACAGGATTTTTCTGGAATCCCATGTGAGGCACAAACGCTCAGACAACAGCAGGAGTGTTCTAGAATGCTATGTGAAGGTCAACCATTCAGACCACAGCAGTAGTGTTCTAGAATTCTATGTGAGGGACAAACATTCATACCCTCGTAGCAGTGTTCTGGAATCCTACGTAAGGGACAAACACTAAGAACCCAGCAGCAGTGTTCTGGCATTCTATCTGAGGGACGGAAATTCAGACCAAAGCAGGAGTATTCTGGAATCCTATGAGAGGTACAATCATTCAGAACCTCGTAGTAATGTTCTGGAATCCTATGTGAGAGAGAAACACTCAGAACCCAGCAGTAGTGATATGGAATCCTATGTGAGGGACAATCATTCAGACCATAGATTGGGTGTTCTTGAATCCTATGTGAGGGACAAACATTCAGACCCTCATAGAAGTGTTCTGGAATCCTATGTGAGGGACAAACACTCAGAACCCAGCAGCAGTGTTCTGGAATCGGATGTAACGTATAACCATTCAGACCACAGCAGGAGGGTTCTGGAATCTTATGTGAGGGACAATCATTCAGACCCTCGTAGCGGTATTCTGGAATCCTGTGTGAGGGAGAAACCCTCAGAACCCAGCGGCAGTCTTCTGTAATCCTATTTGAGGGACAATCATTCAGACCACACCTGTGGTGTTCTGGAATCCTACATGTGGGACAAACTTTCAGACCCTTGTAGCATTGTTCTGGAATGCTATGTGAGGCAAACATTCACACCCTCGTAACAGTGTTCTGGAATTCTATGTGAGGGACAAACATTTAGACCCACTTAGTAGTGTTCTGGAATCGTACGTGAGGGACAAACACTCAGAACCCAACATCAGTGTTCTGGAATAATAAGATAGGGACAAACATTCAGACCACAGCAGGAGTGTTCTGCAACCTTATGTGTGGGAGAATAATTCAGAACCTCGTAGCAGTGTTATGGAATCCTATGTGAGGGACAAACATTCAGACCCCAGTACCAGGGCTCTGGAATCTTATTTGAGGGACAAAGACTCAGTCCACAGCAGGAATGTTTTGGAATCCTATGTGAGAGAGAAACATTCAGACAACAGCAGAATTGTTCTGGAATCCCATGTAAGGCACAAACACCCGGACCACAGAAGGAGTGTTCTGGAATCCTATATGAGGTTCAACCATTCGGACCACAGCAGGAGTGTTCTGAAATCCTATGTGAGGAACAAACATTCAGAACACAAGAGCAGTGTTCTGGAATCTTATGTGAGTGACAAACATTCAGAACCCAGCAACAGTGTTCTGTAATCCTGTCTGAGAGACAAACATTCATACCACAGTAGGAGTGTTCTGGAGTCCAATGTGAGGTACAATCATTCAGAACCCAGTAGCAGTGTCCTGGTTTCCTATGTGAGGGAGAAACACTCAGAACCCAGCAGCAGTGTTATGGAATCCTATGTGAGGGACAATCATTCAGACCACAGCTGGGGTGTTCTGGAATCCTACCTGTGAGACAAACATTTAGACCCTCGCAGCATTGTTCTGCAATCCTATTTGAGGAAAATTCATTCACAATACAGCAGGAGTGTTCTGGAGTCCTATGTGCGGAAGAAACATACAGACCCTCGTAGGAGTGTTCCAGAATCCTATGTTAGGGACAATCCTTTAGACCCAAGTAGCAGTGTTTTGGAATCCTATTTGAGGGACAAACACTCAGACCACAGCAGGAATATTTTGGAAGCCTATGTGAGGAAGAAACATTCAGAACACAGAAGGATTGTTCTAGAATCCAACGTGAGGCACAAACAGCCAGACCACAGCACTAGTGTTCTGGAATCCTATATGACGGTCATCCTTTCAGCCCACAGCAGTAGTGTTCTGTAATCCTATTTGAGGAACAAACATTAAGACAACAGCAGGCTTATTCTGGAAACCTCGGTGAGGAGCAAACATTGAGACCACAGCATCAGTGTTCTGGAATCTTATGTGAGGGACAAACACTCAGAACCTTGCAGCAGTGTTCTGGAATCCTATCTGAGGGACAAACATTCAGACCAGAGCAGGAGTGTTCTTTAATCCTCTGTGAAGTACAATCATTGAGACACTCGTAGCAGTGTACTGGAATCCTACGTGAGGGAGAAACACTCAAAAACCAGCAGCAGTGTTCTGGAATCCTATGTGAGGGACAATCATTCAGACCACAGCTGGGGTGTTCTGTAATCCTACGTGTGGGACAAACATTCAGACACAATTAGAATTGATCTGGAATCGCATGTGAGGAAAACACATTCAGAACACATCAGGAATCTTCTGGAGTCCTATGTGCGGGACAACCATTCAGAGGCTTGTAGCAGTGTTCCGGAATCCTATGTGAGGGAGAAACCTTTAGACCCACGTAGCAGTGTTCTGGAGTCGTACGTGAGGGACAAACCCTCAGAACCCAACATCAGTGTTGCGGAATTCTAAGTGAGGGACAAACATTCAGACCACAGCAGGAGTGTTCTGGAATCCTATGTAAGGGAGAATAATTCAGAGCCTCGTAGCAGTGTTCTGCAATCCTATGTGAGGAACAAACATTCAGACCACAGTAACAGTGTTCTGGAATCCTATTTGAGGGACAAACACTCAGAGCACAGCAGGGATGCTTTGGAACCCTATGTGAGGGAGAAATATTCAGACCACAGCAGGATTGTTCTGGAATCCCATTGGAGGCACAAACTCCCAGACCACAGCAGGAGTGTTCTGCCATCCTATGTGATGGTCAACCATTCAGACCACAGCAGCAGTGCTCGGGAATCCTAGATGAGGTACAAACATTCAGACCACAGCAGGAGTGTTCTGGAATCCTATGTGAGATACAATGGTTCAGACCCTTGTAGCAGTGTTCTGGAATCCTATGTGATGGAGAACCACTCAGAATCCAGCAGCAGTGTTCTGGAATCCTATGTGATGGAGAAACACTCAGAACCCAGCAGCAGTGTTCGGGAGTCCTATGTAAGGTACAATCATTCAGACCACAGCTGGGGTGTTCTGGAATCCTATATGTGGGAAAAACATTCAGACCCCGGTAGCATTGTTCTGGAATCCTATGTGAGGAAAATACATTGAGAACACATCAGGAGTGTTCTGGAGTCCTATGTGCGGGACAAACATTCAGACCCTCTTAGCGGTATTCTGGAATCCTATGTGAGGGAAAAACATTTAGACCCACATGGGAGTGTTCTGGAATCGTTCGTGAGGGACAAACACTCAGAACCCAACAGCAGTGTTCTGGAATCCTAATGAGGGACAAACATTCAGACCACAGCAGGAGTGCGCTGGTATCCTATGTGAGGGAGAATAATTCAAACCCTCGTGATAGTGTTCTGGATTCCTATGTGATGGACAAATATTCAGACCTCAATACCAGTGTTCTGGAATCGTATTTGAGGGA
The DNA here is from genome assembly GCF_000001405.40 of Homo sapiens. Lineage (NCBI taxonomy): Eukaryota > Metazoa > Chordata > Mammalia > Primates > Hominidae > Homo > Homo sapiens. The sequence goes on from NW_021160026.1 coordinate 47,931, forward strand.
CAAACACTCAGACCATAACAGGAATGTTTTGGAATCCAATGTGAGGGAGAAACATTCAGACTACTGCAGGATTGTTCTGCAATCCCATGTGAGGCACAAACACCCAGACCACAGCAGGATTGCTCTGGAATCCTATGTGATGGTCAGACATTCAGACCACAGCAGTAGTAGTCTGGAATCCTGTATGAGAGACAAACATTCAGATTACAGCAGGATTGTTCTAGAATTCTATGGAGGAACAAACATTCAAACCATATCAGCACTGTTCTGGAATCCTATGTGAAGGGACAGACACTCAGAACGCAGCAGCAGTGTTCTGGAATCCTATTTTAAGGACAAACACCCAGACAAGAGCAGGGGTGTTCTGGAATCCTATGTGACGGTCAACCATTCAGGCCACAGCAGTAGTGCTCTGCAATCCTATGTGAGGGACAAACATTCAGACCACAGCAAGAGTGTTCTGAAATCCTATGTGAGGGACAAACATTCAGAACCCAGCACCTCTTTTCTGGAATCCTATCTGAGTGACAAACATTCAGAACAGAGCAGGAGTGTTCTGGAATCCTATGTGAACTACAATCATTCAGACCCTCGTAGCAGTGTTCTGGAATCGTATGTGAGGGAGAAACACTCAGAACCCAGCAGCAGTGTTCTGGAATCCTATGGGAGGGACAATCATTCAGAACACAGCTGGGGTGTTCTGGAATCCTAAGTGTGGGAAAAACATTCAGACCCTGGTAGCATTGTTCTGGAATCCCATGTGAGGAAAATACTTTCAGGAAACAGGAGGAGTGTTCTGGAGTCCTACGTGAGAGAGAAACATTCAGACCCTCCTAGCAGTGTTCTGGAATCCTATGTGAGGGACAAATATTTAGAACCACGTAACATTGTTCTGGAATCGCACGTGAGGGACACTCAGAACCTAACATCAGTGTTCTGGAATCCTAAGTGAGGGACAAACATTCAGACCACAACAGGAGTGCTCTGGAATCCTATCGGAGGGAGAATAATTCAGACCCTCCTGTCAGGGTTTTGGAATCCTATGTGAGGGACAAACATTCAGACCCCAGTAGCAGTGTTCTACAATCCTGTTTAAGGGACAAACACTCAGACTGCAGCAGGAATGTTTTGGAATCCTATGTGAGGGAGAAACATTCAGACCACAGAAGGATTGTTCTGGAATCCCATGTGAGACACAAACACCCTGATCACAGCAGGAGTATTCTGGAATCATATCTGAGGGTCAACCGTTGAGACCACAGCAGTAGTGTTCTGGAATCCTATATGAGAGACAAACATTCAGACCACAGCAGCATTGTTCAGGAATCCTTTGTGAGGGACAAACACTCAGAACCCAGCAGCAGTGTTCTGGAATCCTATGTGAATGACAAATATTTAGACCCTCGTCGCAGTGTTCTGGAATGCTATGGTAGGGACAAACTCTGAAAACCCAGCAGCAGTGTTCTGGAATCCTATGTGAGGGACAATCATTCAGACCACAGCTGGGGTTTTCTGGAATCCTACATGTGCGACAAGCATTCAGACACTCATAACATTCTTCTGGAATCCTATCATAGGAAAATACATTCAGAACACAGCAAGAGTGTTCTGGAGTCCTATGTGCGAGAAAAACATTCAGACCCTCGTAGCACTGTTCTGGAATCCTACGTAACAGACAAACATATAGACCCACGTGGCAGTGTTGTGGAATTGTACCTGAGGGACAAACACTCAGAACCCAACAGTAGTGTTCTGGAATCCTAAGTGAGGGACAAACACTCAGACCGCAGCAGGAGTGCTCTTGAATACTTAGAGGGGAAAAAATATTCAGACAACAGCAGGAGTGTTCTGGAATCCTATGTGAGGGAGAATAATTTATACCCTCATAGCAGTGTTCTGGAATCCTATTTGAGGGACAAACATTCAGACCATCGTAACAGTGTTCTGGAATCCTATGTGAGGGACAAACACTCAGAACCCAGCAGCAGTGTTCTGGAATCCTATGTGAGGGACAATTATTCAGACCACAGCTGGGGTGTTCTGGAATCCTAAGTGTGGGACAACCATTCAGACCCTCGTAGCATTGTTCTGGAATCCTAAGTGAGGAAAATACATTCAGAACACAGCAGGAGTGTTCTGGAATTCTACATGCGGGACAAACATTCAGACTCTCTTAGCAGTGTTATGGAGTCTTAGGTGAGGGACAAATATTCAGACCCTCATAGTAGTTTTCTGGAGCCCTATGTGAGGGACGAGCATTTAGACCAATGTAGAAGTGTTCTAGAATCGTATGTGAGGCACAAAACACTCAGAACCCAACAGCAGTGTTCTGAAATCCTAAGTGAGGGATAAACATTCAGACCACAGCAGGAGTGTTCTGGAAACATAAGTGAGGGAGAAACATTCCCACAACAGCAGGAATGTTCTGGAGCCCTATGAGAGGGACAAACACTCAGACCACAGCAAGAATGCTTTGTAATCCTATGTGACAGAGAAGCATTCAGACCACAGCAGGATTGTTACGGAATCCCATGTGAGGCACAAACACCCAGACCACAGCCGGAGTGTTCTGGAATCCTATGTGAGCATCAACCATTCAGACCACTGCAGTAGTGTTCTGGAATCCGATGTGAAGAGCAAACATTCTGAGCCTCGTAGCATTGTTCTGTAATCTTATCTGAGGGATAAACATTCAGACTCTCTTGGCAGTGTTCTGGAATATTATGTGAGGAACAAATATTCAGACCCTCGTAGCAGTGTTCTGGAATCCTATGTGAGTGAGAAATACACAGAACCCAGCAGCAGTGTTCTGTAATCCTATGTGAGGAACAAACATTAGGACACTCGTAGCAGTGTTCTGGAATCATATGTGAGGGAAAAACACTCAGAACCCAGCAGCACTGTTCTGGAATCCTATTTGAGGGAAACTTTCAGACCACAGCAGGAGTATTCAGGAATCATATGTGAGGGACAAACATTCAGACCCTCATAGCCGTGTTCTGGAATCCTATGTGAGGGAGAATAATTCAGACCCTCATAGCAGTGTTCTCGAACCCCATTTGAGGGACAAACACTCAGAAGACAGCAGGACTGTTTTGGAATCCTACATGAGGGAGAAACATTCAGACCCCAGCAGAAGTGTTCTGGAATCTTATTGCAGGTACAAACACTCAGAACCCAGCAGCAGTGTTCTGGAATCCTATGTTAGGGACTCACATTCAGAACCTCGTACCAGAGTTTTGGAATCCTCTGTGAGGGACAACCTTTCAGACCAAAGCAGCAGTGTTCTGGAATCCTATGTGAGGAATAAACATTCACAGCACAGCAGGAGTTTTCTGGTATCCTATTTAGGGGACAAACATTCAGACCCTCTTAGCAGTGTTGTGAAATCCTATGTAAAGGACAAACATTCAGACCACAGCAGTAGTGATCTGGAATCCTATGTGAAGGACAAATATTCAGAAGCCTGCTGCAGTGTTCTAAAATCCTATGTGACAGACAAACATTCAAATCTTCGTAGCAGTGTTCTGGAATCCTATGCGAGGGACAAACATTCAGACCACAGCAGCACTGTTCTGGAATCCTATGTGAGAGATAAACACCCAGACCACAGCAGGAGTGTTCTGGAAGTCTATGTGATGAACAAACATTCAGAACACAGCAGGGGTGTTCTGGAATCCTGTGTGAGTGACAAACATTCACACCCAGCAGCATTGTTCTGGAGTCCTGTGTGTGGGACAAACATTCAGACCACAGCAGGAGTGTCCAGGAATCCTATGTGAGGGACAAACATTCAGACCCTCATAGCAGTGTTCTGGAGTCCTATGTGAGAGAAAAACACTCGGAAGCCAGCAGCAGATTTCTGGAATCCTATGTGAGGGACAAAGATTGAGAACCCCGTAGAAGTGTTCTGAAATCATATGTGAGGGACAAACTTCCAGACCCCAGCAGCAGTGTTCTTGAATCTTATGTGAGGGACAAACATTCAGATCAAATCAGGAGTGTTTTGGAATCCTATGTGAGGGACAAACATTCAGATTAAAGCAGGAGTGTTCTGGAATCCTAATTCAGGGACACACAGTTCAGACCACAGCAAGAGTGCCCTGGAATCCCATGTGTGGGAGAATAATTCAGACGGTTGCTGCAGTGTTCTTGAATCCTATGAGAGGGAAAAACATTCAGACCCTCGTAGCACTGTTCTCGAATCCTATGTGAGAGACAAACACTGCGAACCCAGCAGTGTTCTGGAATCCAATGTGAGGGACAATCATTGAGACCAAAGCTGGGGTGTTCTGGAATCCTACGTGTAGAACAAGCATTCAGAACCTCGTACCATTGTTCTGGAATCCTCTGTTAGGAAAATACATTCAGAACACAGAAGGAGTGTTCTGGAGTCCTATGTGCAGGACAAATATTCAGACCCTCGTAGCTGTGTTCTGGAATCCTATATGAAGGAAAAACGCTAAGAACCCAGCAGCAGTGTTCCGGAATCCTATGTGAGGAACAAACATTCAGACCACAATAGCAGTGTTCTGGAATCTTATGTGAGGGACAAACATTCAGATCCTCTTAGAAGTGTTCTGGAATCCTATGTGAGGGGCAAAGTTTTAGAACAAAGCAGCAGTGTTCTAGAATCTTATGTGAGGGGCAAAGTTTTAGAACAAAGCAGCAGTGTTCTAGAATCTTATGTGAGGGACAAACATTCAGACCACAGCAGGAGTGTTCTAGAAACCTATGTGAGGGAGAAACATTCAGTCCCAAGGAGCAGTGTTCTGGAATCCTATGTGAGGGACAGACATTTAGACCGACGTAGCAGTGTTCTGGAATCCTACGTCAGGAACAAACACTCACAACCCAGCGGCAGTGTTCTGGAATCCTATGTGAAGGACAAACATTCAGACCACAACAGGAGTGTTCTGGAATCCTATGTGATGGACAAACATTCAGTACCCAGGAGCAGTGCTCTGGAATCCTATGTGAGAGACAAACATTTAGACCCACACAGCAGCGTTCTGGAATCATAAGTGTGAGACAAACACTGAGAACCTCAGAGCTTTCTTCTGGAATCCTAAGGGAGGAACAGATATTGAGACCACAGCAGGAATGTTTTGGAATCGTATGTGAGGGACAAACATTCAGACGACGGCAGCAGTGTTATGGAATGCTTTGTGAGGGACAAACAGTCACAACCCAGCAGCAGTGTCCTGGAATTCTATTTTGGGACAAACACTCAGACAACAGAAGCAATGTTTTGGAATCCTATGTGATGGAGAAACGTTCAGACTGCAGCAGGATTGTTCTGGAATACCAAGTGAGGCACAGACAACAGCAGGAGTGTTCTGGAATCCTATGTGAGGGTCAAATTTTCAGTTGATAGCAGTAGTGCTCTGGAATCCTATGTGAGGGACAAACTTTCAGACCCTCGTAGGAGTGTTCTAGAATCCTTTCTGAGGGACAAACACTCAGAACCCAGCTGCTGTGTTCTGGAATCCAATCTGAGGTACCAATATTCAGAAGACAGCATTAGTGTTACGGAATCCTTTGTGATTTACAATCATTCAGACATTCGCAGCAGTTTTCTGGAATCCTATGTGAGGGAGAAGCCATCAGAACCCAGCAGCAGGGTTCTGGAATCCTATGTGAGAGAAAATCATTCAGAGCACAGCTAGGGTGCTCTGGAATTCTACGTGTGGGACTAGCATTCAGAACTTCGTAGCATTGTTCCGGAATCCTAGGTTAGGGAAACACATTCAGAACACAGCAGGTGTGTTCTGGAGTCCTATGTACGGGACAAACATTCAGACCCTTGTAGCAGTGTTCTGGAATCCTATGTGAGGGACAAGCACTTAAACCCAAGTAGCAGTGCTCTGCAATTGTACTTGAGGGACAAGCACTCTGAATCCAACAGCAGTGTTCTGTAATCCTGAGTGAGGGACAAACATTCAGACCACAGCAGGAGTGTTCCGGAATCGTAAGTGAGGAACAAACATTCAGACTCCAGCATGTGTGTTCTGGTATCCTATGTGAGGGAGAATAATTTAGACGCTTGTAGCAGTGTTCTGGAATCCTATGTGAGGGACCAACATTCAGACCCTCGTAGCAGTGTTCTGGAGTCCTATGTGAGGGACAAGCACTTAAACCCAAGTAGCAGTGCTCTGCAATTGTACTTGAGGGACAAGCACTCTGAATCCAACAGCAGTGTTCTGTAATCCTGAGTGAGGGACAAACATTCAGACCACAGCAGGAGTGTTCCGGAATCGTAAGTGAGGAACAAACATTCAGACTCCAGCATGTGAGTTCTGGTATCCTATGTGAGGGAGAATAATTTAGACGCTTGTAGCAGTGTTCTGGAATCCTATGTGAGGGACCAACATTCAGACCCTCGTAGCAGTGTTCTGGAGTCCTATGTGAGGGACAAACATTTAGACCCATGTAACACTGTTCTGGAATCAAACATGAGGGAAAAACACTCAGAACCCAAAAGCAGTGTTATGGAATCCTACATAAGGGACAATAATTCAGATCCTCGTAGCAGTGTTCTGGAATCCTATTAGAGGGGCAAACATTCAGACCCTCGTAGCAGTGTTCTGAATTCTATTTGAGGGACAACACTCAGAACCCAGTGACACTGTTGTAGAATGCTTTGTGTGGGGCAATCATTCAGACCACAGCTAGGGTGTTCTGGAATCCTACGTGTGAGACAAACATTCAGATCCTCGTAGCAGTGTTCTGGAATCTTACGTGAGGGACAAACATTGAGACTCTCGTAGCAGTGTTCTGGAATCCTATGTGAAGGACAAACACTCAGAACCCAGAAGCAGTGATCTGGATTCCTATGTAAGGGACAAACATTCAGACCACAGCAGGAGAGTTCTCGAAACCTAAGTGAGGAACAAACACTCAGACCACAGCAGGAATGTTTTGGAATCCTATGTGAGGGAGAAATATTCAGACCACAGCAGGATTATTCTGGAATCCCATGTGAGGCACAAACACCCAGACCACAACAGGAGTGTTCTGGAATCCTATGTGAGGGTCAACCATTCAGACCACAGCAGTAGTGTCCTGGAATCCTATGTGAGGGACAAACATTCAGAACCTCGCAACAGTGTTCTGGAATCGTATGATAGGGACAAACACTCAGAACCCAGCAGCAGAGTTCTGGAATGTTATGTGAGAGACAAAATCTCAGACCCCAGCAGCAGTGTTCTGGCATCCTATGTGAGGGATAAACACTCAGAAAGTAGCAGCAGTGTTCTGGAATCCTATTAGAAGGACAAACATTCAGACGAGAGCAGGAGTGTTCTGGTATCCTATGTGAGGTACAATCATTCAGTCCCTCGTAGCAGTGTTCTGGAATCCTATGTGAGGGACAAACATTTAAACTCTCGTAGCAGTGTTCTGGAATCCCATATCTGGGAGAAACACTTAGACCCATGTAGCACTGTTCTGGATCCCTACGTGAGGGACAAATACTCAGAACCCAACAGCAGTGTTCTGGAATCCTCAGTGAGGGACAAACATTCAGACCACAGCAAGAGTGTTCTGGAATCCTAAGTGAGGGACAAACATTGAGACCACAGCAGGAGTGTTCTGGAATCCTATGTGAGGAACAAACATTCAGACACTCGTAGTAGTGTTCTGGAATCCTATGAGAGGGACAAACATTTAGACCCACGTACCAGTGTTCTGGAATAGTATGTGAGGGACAAACACTCAGAACCCAACAGCAGTGTTCTGGAATCCTAAGTGAGGGACAAACATTTAGACCCACTTACCAGTGTTCTGGAATAGTACGTGAGGGACAAACACTCAGAACCCAACAGCACTGTTCTGGAATCCTAAGTAAGGGACAAACATTCAGACCACAGGAGGAGTGTTCTGGAATCCTATGTGAGGGAGAATAATTCAGAACCTCGTAGCAGTTTTCTGGAATCCTATGTGAGGGACAAACATTCAGACCCCAGCAGCAGTGACATGAAATCCTATGTGAGAGAGAATCTCTCAGAACCCAGAAGCAGTGTACCAGAATCCTATGTGAGGGCCAATCATTCAGACCATAGCTGGGGTGTTCTGGAAACCTAAGTGTGGGACAAATATTCAGACCCTCATAGCAGTGTTCTGGAACCCTATGTGAGGGACAAACATTTAGGCCCACGTAGCAGTGTTCTGGAATCGTACGTGAGGGACAAACACTCAGAACCCAACAGCAGTATTCTGGAAACCTAAGTGAGGGACACACATTCAGACAACAGCAGGATGGTTCTGGATTCCTATGTGAGGGAGAAACACTCAGAACCCAGCATCAGTGTTCTGGAATCCTATGTGAGAGACCATCAGAAAGACCACAGCTGGTGGGTTCTGGAATCCAAGTTTGGGACAAAGATTCAGACACTCGTAGCATTGTTCTGGAATCCTATGTGAGGAAAACACAATCAGAACACAGCAGGAGTGTTCTGGAATCCTATGTGCAGGACAAACATTAGGACCCTCGTAGCAGTGTTCTGGAATCCTATGTGAGGGACAAACATTTAGACCCACGTAGCAGGGTTCTGGAATCATACTTGAGGGACAAACACTCAAATCCCAACAGCAGTGTTCTGGAATCCTAAGTGAGGGACAAACATTCAGACAACAGCAGGAGTGTTCTGGAATCCTATGTGAAGAGAATAATTCAGACCCCTGTAGCAGTGCTCTGGAATCCTATGTGAGGGACAAACATTCAGACCTTCGTAGCAGTGCTCTGGAATCCTCTGTGAGGGATAAACATATAGACCCATATAACTGTTTTCTGGAATCTTATGTAAGGGAAAAACTCTCAGAATCCAACAGCAGTGTTCTGGAATCCTATGTGAGGGAGAAACACTCAGAATCCAGCAGCAGTGTTCTGGAATCCTATGTGAGGGACAGTCATCCAGACCACAGCTGGGATTTTTCTGGATCCCTACGTGTGGGACAAACATTCAGACCCTCTTAGCATTGTTCTGAAATCCTATTTGAGGAAGAACATTCAGAATACAGCAGTAGTGTCCTGGAGACCTACGTGCGGGACAAACATACAGACCCTCGTAGCAGTGTTCTGGAATCCTATGTGAGGGACAAATATTCAGACCACAGCAGGAGTGTTCTGGAATCCTATGTGAGGGACAATAAATCAGATGCTCGTAGCAGTGTTCTGGAATCCTATGTGAGGGACAATTTTCAGACCCTCATAGCAGTGTTCTGGAATCCTATGTGAGGGACAAACACTCAGAACCCAGGAGTAGTATTCTGGAATCCCATGTTAGGGACAATCATTCAGACCACAGCTGAGTTGTTCTTTAATCCTACGTGTGGGACAAGCATTCAGACCCTCATAGCAGTGTTCTGGAGTCCTATGTGCGGGAGAAACATTCAGACCCTTGTAGGAGTCTTCAGGAATCCTATGTGAGGGACATACATTTAGACCCACGTAGCAGGGTTCTGGAATCGTACTTGAGGGACAAACAGTCAGAACCCAACATCAGTGTTCTGGAATCTTAAGTGAGGGACAAACATTCAGACCATAACAGGAGTGTTCTGGAATCCTATGTGAGGGAGAATAATTCAGACCCTCGTAGCAGTGTTCAGGAATCCTATTTGAAGGAGAAACACTCAGATCACAGCAGGATTCTTCTGGAATCCCATGTGAGGCAAAAACCCACAGACCACAGCAGGAGTGTTCTGGAATCCTTTGGGTGGGTCAACCATTCAGACCACAGCAGTAGTGTTCTGGAATCTTATGTGAGGGACAAACATTCAGACTTTCGTAGCAGTGTTCTGGAATCCTATGCGAGGGAGAAACACTCAGAACCCAGCAGCAGTGTTTTGGATTCCTATGTGAGGGTCAAATAGACCACAGCAGTAGTGTTCTGGAATCCTTTGTGAGGAACAAACATTCAGACCCTCGTAGCAGTGTTTTGGAATCCTATGTGAGGGAAAAACACTCAGAACCCAGCAGCAGTGTTCAGGAATCCTATGTTAGGGACAGTCATTCAGACCACAGCTGGGGTGTTCCGGAATCCTACGTGTGGGACAAGCATTCAGACCCTCGTAGCATTGTTCTGGAATCCTATGTTAGTAAAATGCATTCAGAACACAGCAGGAGTGTTCTGGAGTCCTATGTGTGGGACAAATCTTCAGACCCTCGTAGCCGTGTTCTGGAATCCTATGTGAGGGAGAATAATACAGACCTTCGTAGCAGGGTTCTGGAATCCTATTTGAGGGACAAACACTCAGATGACAGCATGACTGTTCTGGAATCCCATGTGAGACACAAACATCCATACCACAGCAGGAGTGTTCTGGAATCCTATGTGAGGTTCAACCATTCAGACCACAGCATTGGTGTTCTGGAAATGCTATGTGAAGCAGAAACATTCAGACCCTCGTAGCAGTGCTCAGGAATCTTATGTGAGGGACAAACATTCAGACCCTCTTAGCAGTGTTCTGGAATCCTATGCGAGGGGGAAACACTAATAACCCAGCAGCTGTGTTTTGGAATCCTATGTGAGGATCAAATATTCAGACCACAGCAGTAGTGTTCTGGAATCCTTTGTAAGGGACAAACATTCAGACCCTCGTAGCAGTGTTTTGGAATCCTATGTGAGGGAAAAACACTCAGAACCCAGCAGCAGTTTTCAGGAATCCTATGTTAGGGACAGTCATTCAGACCACAGCTGGGGTGTTCCGGAATCCTAAGTGTGGGAAAAACATTCAGGCCCTTCTAGCATTGTTTTGGAATCCTATGTGAGGGAGAATAATACAGACCTTCATAGCAGTGTTCTGGAATCCTATTTGAGGGACAAACACTCAGATGACAGCATGATTGTTCTGGAATCCTATGTGAGAGACAACCATTCAGACCACAGCAGTATTGTATTGGAATCCTAAGTGAGGGAGAAACATCCAGACCACAGCAGGAGTGTTCTGGAATCCTATGTCAAGGAGAAAAATACAGACCCTCGTAGCCGTGTTCTGTAATCCTATGTGAGGGACAAACACTCATATCCCAGCAGCAGTGTTCTGGAATCTTATGTGAGGGACAGACATTCAGACCCTCGTAGAAGTGTTCTGGAATCCTACGTGAGAGACAAAGAATCAGAACCCAGCTGCAGAGTTCTGGAATCTTATGTGAGGGACAAACATTCAGACAAGAGCGGGATTGTTCTGGAATTAAATGGGTTGGACAAACATTCTGACCCTCGTAGCAGTGTTCTGGAATCCTATGTGAGGGAAAAACTCTCAGAACCCAGCAGTAGTGTTATGGAACACTATGTGAGGGAGAAACATTCAGAAGACAGCAGGGGTGTTCTGGAATCCCATGTGATGGAGAATAATTCAGAACCTCGTAGCAGTCTTTTGGAATCCTATGTGAGGGAGAAAATCTCAAAACACAGCAGCAGTGTTCTGGAATCCTATGAGAGGGACAATCATTCAGACCACAGCTGGGGTGTTCTGGAATCCTATGTGTGGGACAAGCATTCAGAAACTCGTAGCATTGTTCTGGAATCCTATGTCAGGAAAATACATTCAGAACACATCAGGAGTCTTCTGGAGTACTTTGTGAGGGACAAACATTCAGACTCTCGTAGCCGTGTTCTGGAATCCTATCAGAGAGAATAATTCAGACCCTCCTAACAGGATTCTGGAATCCTTTTTGAGGGACAAACACTCAGACCACAGCATAAATGTTTTGGAATCTTATGTGAAGTAGAAACATTAAGACCACAGGAGGATTGTTCTGGAATCCCATGTGAGGCACAAACACCCAGACCACAGCAGAAATGTTCTGGAATCCTGTGTGAGGGTCAACCATTCAGATCACAGCAGTAGTGTTCTGGAATCCTTTGTGAAGGACAAATATTCAGACAAGAGCAGGAGTGTTCTGGAATCCTATGTGAGGGAAAATAATTCAGACCCTTGTACATTTGTTCTGGAATCCTATGTGAGAGACAAACACTCAGAACCCAGCAACAGTGTTCTGGAATCTTAGGTTTGGGACAAACATTCAGACCACAGCAGGAGTGTTCTCGAATCTCATGTGAGGAACAAACATTCAGACCCTCATAGCAGTGTTCTGGAATCATCTCTGAGGGACAAACACTCAAAATCAAGCAGCAGTGTTCTGGAATCCTATCTGAGGGACAAACATGCAGACCACAGCTGGGGTGTTCTGGAATCCTACGGGTAGGACAAGCATCCAGACCCTCGTCGCATTGTTCTGGAGTCCTATGTGAGGAAAATACATTGAGAACACGGCAGGAGTGTTTTGAAGTCCTATGTGAGGGATAAATATTCAGACCCTCATAGCGGTGTTCTAGAGTCCTATGTGTGGGACAAACATTTAGACCCACGTAGCAGTGTTTTGGAATCATACGTGAGGCACGGACACTCAGAACCCAACGGCAGTGTTCTGGAATCCTAATTGAGGGACAAACATTCAGACCACAGCAGGCGTATTCTGGAAAGCTATGTGAGGGAGAATAATTCAGACCCTCGTAACAGTGTTCTGGAATCCTATGTGAGGAACAAACATTCATACCCCAATGGTAGTGTTATGGAGTCCTATTTGAGGGACAAACACTCAGACCACATCAGGAATGTTTTGGAATCCTATGTGAGTGAGAAACATTCAGACCACAGCAGGATTGTTCTGGAATCCCATGCGAAGCACAAACACCCAGACCACAGCAGTAGTGTTCTGGAATCATATGTGAGGGTCAACCACTCAGACCACAGCAGTAGGGTTCTGGAATCCTATGGAAGGGATAAACATTCAGAACCTCGTAGCAGTGCTCTGGAATGTTACGTGAGGGACAAACATTCAGACCGCCTTAGCAGTGCTCTGGAATCCTATTTGAGGGAGAAAACTCAGACCACAGCAGGAGTGTTCTGGAGTCCTATGTGAGGGAAAAACATTCAAACCACAGCAGGATTGTTCTGGAATTCCATGTGTGGCGCAAACCCCCACACCACAGCAGGAGTGTTCTGGAATCCTATGTGAGGACAATCATTCAGACCACAGCTGGGATGTTCTGGAATCCTACGTGTGGGGCAAGCATGCAAACCCTCATAGCATTGTTCTGGAATCCTATGTGAGGAAAATACATTCAGAACACCGCTGGAGTGTTCTGGACTCCCTTGTGTGGGACAAACATTCAGACCATTCATAGCAGTGTTCAGAAATCCTATGTGAGGGACAAACTTTCAGACTCTCGTAGCAGTGTTCTGGAATCTTATGTGAGGGAAAAACATTAAGACCCTCTTAGAAGTGTCCTGGAATCCTATGTGAGGGAAAAACACTCAAAACCCAGCAGCAGTGTTGTGGAATCCCATATGAGGGACAAACATTCAGACCGGGGCAGGAGTGTTCTGGAATCCTATGTGAGGTATAATCATTCAGACCGTCAAGGCAGTGTTCTGGAATCCTATGTGAAGGAGAAACAGTCAGAACCCAGCAGCAGTGTTCTGGAATCCTATATGAGGGACAAACATCAGACCCTCATATCAGTGTTCTGGAATCCTAAGTGAAGAACAAACAATCAGAACCCAGCAGCAGTGTTCTGGAATCCTTTGTCAGGGAAAAACATTCAGATCACAGAAGGAGTGTTCTGGAATCCTATGTGAGGGACACACATTCAGAACACAGCATCATTGTTCTGGAATACTATGTGAGGGACAAACTTTCAGACCACTGCAGGAGTGTTCTGGAATCCGATGTGAGGGACAAACTTTCAGACCCCAGAAGAAGTGTTCTGGAATCGTATTTGAAGCACAATCATTTAGACCCACGTAGCAGTGTTCTGGAATCTTACATGAAGGAAAAACACTCAGAACACAACAGCAGTGTTGTGGAATCTTACATGAGGGAAAAACACTCAGAACACAACAGCAGTGTTCTGGTATCCTAGGGGAGGGACACACTTTCAGATCACAGCAGGAGTGTTCTGGAATCCTATGTGAGGGAGAATAATTCAGACCCTGGTAGCAGTGTTCTGGAATCCTATGTGAGGGACAAACTTTCAGACCCGAGTAGCAGTGTTCTGGAATCCTATTTGAGGAACAATCACTCAGATCACAGCAGGAATGTTTTGGAATCCTATGTGAGGGAGACACATTCAGACCACAGCAAGATTGTTCTGGAATCTCACCTGAGGAACAAACACCCAGACCACAGCAGGAGTGTTTTGGAGTCCTATGTGAGGATCAGCCATTCAGACCACTGCAGCAGGGTTCTGGAATCTTATGTGAGGGACAAACATTCAGACCCTGTTAGCATTGTTCTGGAATCTTATGTGAGGGACAATAATGCGGACCCTCTTAGCAATGTTCTGGAATCCTATGTGAGGGACAAACATTCAGACCCCCGTAGGAGTGTTCTGGAATCCTATGTGAGGGACAAACACTCGGAATCCAGCAGCAGTGTTCTGGAATCTTATGTGAGGGACAAACATTCAGACCACAACAGGAGTGTTCTGGACTCCTATGTAAGGGACAAACATTCAGACCCCAGCAGCAGTGTTCTGGAATCCTATGTGAGGGACAAATATTTAGACCCAAGTAGCAGTGTTCTGGAATCATACGTGAGGGACAAACACTCAGAACCCCACAGTACTGTTCTGGAATCCTAAGTGAGGGACAAACATTCAGACCACAGCAGGAGTGTTCTGGAATCCTATGTGAGGGACAAACATTCAGACCACAGCGGCAGTGTTCTGGAATCCTATGTGAGGGACAAACAATCAGACCACAGCAGCAGTGTTCTGGAATCTTATGTGAGGGACTCACATTCAGAACCTCGTAGCAGTGTTTTGGAATCCTATGTGAGGGACAAACATTGAGACACTCTTAGCAGTGTTCTGGAATCCTATGTGAGGGACAAACATTCAGACCCAGCAGCAGTGTTCTGGAATCCTATGTGAGGGAGAAACAATCAGACCCTCGTAACAGTGTCCTGAAATCCTAAGGCAGGTACAAACCCTCAGAACCCAGCAGCAGTGTTCTGGAATCCTATGTTAGGGACTCACATTCAGAATTTCCTACCAGTGCTCTGGAATCCTCTGTGAGGGACAGCCTTTCATACTACAGAAGCAGTGTTCTGGAATTGTATTTGAGGAATAAACATTCACAGTACAGCAGGAGTTTTCTGGTATCCTAAGTAAGGGACAAACATTCAGACCCACTTAGCAGTGTTGTGAAATCCTATGTCAAGGACAAACATTCAGACCCCAGCAGCAGTGCTCTGGAATGCCATGTGAGGGACAAACATTCGGACCACAGCAGGAGTGTTCAGGAATCCTATGTGAGGTACAAACATTCAGATTACATCAGGAGTATTCTGGAATCCTATATGAGGGGCAAACATTCAGACCACAGCATCAGCGTTCTGGAATCCAATGTGAGGGACAAACTTTCCGACCACAGCAGGAGTGTTTTGGAGTCCTATGTGAGGGACTGATATTCAGACCCCCGAAGCTCTGTTCTGGAATCCAAAGTGAGGGAGAAACACTCAGAACCCAGCAGCAGTGTTCTATAATCCTAGGTGACAGAGAAACATTTAGACCCTCCTGGCAATGTTCTGGAATCCTATGTGAGAGACACACATTCAGAACACAGCAGGAGTGTTCTTGAATCCTAAATGAGGGACAAACAAGCAGAACTCAGCAGCAGTGTTCTGGAATTCTATGTGAGGGACAAACATAAAGACCACATCAGGAGAGTTCTGGAATCCTATGTGCCCAAAAACATTCAGATCCCAGCAGCAGTGCTCTTCGATCCTATGTGAGGGAAAACATTCAGACCCTCGTAGCAGTGTTCTTAAATGCTATGTGAGGGACAAACATTCAGAACCTCTTAGCAGTGTTCTGGAATCCTATCTGAGGGACAAACATTTAGACCCAAGTAGCTGTGCTCTGGAATCTTACGTTAAGTACAAACACTCAGAAACCAACAGCAGTGTTCTGGAATCCTAAGTGAGGGACAAACTTTCAGACCACAGCACGAGTGTTCTGGAATCCTGAGTGAGAGACAAACATTCGGAACACAGCAGGAGTGTTCTGGAATGCTACGTCAGGGAGAATAATTCAGACCCTCGTAGCAGTGTTCTGGAATCCTATGTGAGGGACAAACATTCAGACTCCAGTAGCAGTGTTTTGGAATCCTATTTGAGGGAGAAACACTCAGACCAGAGAAGAAATGTTTTGGAATCCTATCTGAGGGGGAAACATTCAGAACACAGCAGGATAGATCTGGAAACCCTTGTGAGGCACAAACACCCAGATGACAGGAGGAATGTTCTGGAATCCTATATAAGGGTCAAGTATTCAGACCACAGCAGTAGTGTTCTGGAATCCTATATGAGGGACAAACATTCAGACCCTCGTAGCAGTGTTCTGGAATCCTATGTAAAAGACAAACACTCAGAAACCAGGAGCAGTGTTCTGTAATCCTTTGTGAGGGAGAAACTTTCAGACCACAGAAGGAGTGTTCTGGAATCCTAAGTGAGGGACAAACATTCAGACCAAAGCAGCAGTGTTCTGGACTCCTATGTGAGGGACAAACATTTAGGCCCACGTAGCAGTGTTCTGGAATCCTATGTGAGGGACAAATACTCAGAACCCAGAAGCTGTGTTCTGGAATCCTATCTGAGGGACAAACATTCAGAGCAGAGCAGGAATGTTCTGGAGTCCTATGTGCGGGACAAACTTTCAATCCCTCATAGCAGTGTTCTGGAATCCTATGTGATGGACAAACATTTACAACCATGAGGCAGTGTTCTGGAGTCATACGTGAGGAACAAACACTCAGATCCCAAACTCAGTGTTCTGGAATCCCATCTGAGGGACAAACATTCAGACCAGAGCAGGAGTGTTCCGTAATCCTATGTGAGGTACAATCATTCAGACCCTCGTAGCAGTGTTCTGCAGTCCTATGTGAGGGACAAACACTCAGAACCCAGCAGCATTGTTCTGGAATCTTATATGAGGGACCATCATTCAGACCACAGCTGGCATCTCCTGGAATCCTACGTGTGGGACAAGCATTCAGACTCTCGTAGCACTGTTCTGGAATCCTAGGTTAGGAAAATACATTCAGAACACAGCAGGAGTGTTCTGGAGTCCAATGTGCGGAACAAACATTGAGACCCTTGTAGCACTGTTGTGGAATCCTATGTGAGGGAGAAACACTCAGAACCCAGCAGCAGTGTTCTGGAATCCTATGTGAGGGACAATCATTCAGACCACAGCTGGAGTGTTCTGGAATCCTACTTGTGGGACAAGCATTCAGACCCTCGTAGCATTGTTCTGTAATCCTATGTTAGGAAATCACATTCAGAACACAGCAGGAGTGTTCTGGAGTCCTATGTGAGGGACAAAGATTCAGACCCTCATAACAGTGTTCTGGAACCTTATGTGAGGTACAAACATTCAGACCCCCCTAGCAGTGTTCTGGAATTGTATGTGAGGGACAAACACTCACAACCCAGCAGCAGTGTTCTGGAATCTTATCTGACGGACAAACATTCAGACTAGGGGAGGAGTGCTCTAGAACCCTGTGTGAGGTACAATCATTCAGACCGCAGCAGGACTGTTCTGGAATCATATGTGAGGGGCAATCATTCAGACCACAGCTGATGTGTTCTGGAATCCTACGTGTGGGACAGGCATTCAGACCCTCGTAGCATTGTTCTGGAATCCTATGTTAAGAAAATACAAATGTAAGGCTGAAAGCTGTAAAACTCCTACACAAAAATATAAGGGAAAAATATGCAACGTTATGCCATTGAATTTGGCAGTGGGATCTTGACTGCCAGCTGCCCCACATCCCTGGAGCATCCATCCGCTCACCGCTGCCGGGTGCTGGGTCCTTCCACACCTGTCACGCTACTTTGTGAGGGGCTCTGAGGGGCACCAGCCAGGACCCCACGCTGAGCACAGGGCACAGGCCGGGCATTGTCAGGCTATTCGCTGGCAGGCTATCCCCACGCCCGCCTCAGACTCCAGGAGGAAGGGCGGCCTGATCCGAGCCTGCGGAAGGAGGAAGAAGCACGTTTCCTGAGCCAACAGGGACACAGAGGCGGATGCCATAAAATTATATGGCATATATTTTGAAACATGGCCGCAATTTGAATAACTAGAATATCTAAAAACTCCAAAGATTATTATGCTGAAACGGCACCAAAAATTATCATTCCAGTGACTACAGGGAATTTTTAATAGTTGCTATTTTTATAATAAAATTAAACTTTAATGAAATAACTGACTTTCAAACTTCAGCAAGAGGACAAATATTCAGCCAGAGATATCAGTTCCCAGTTTCTGCTCCGGGTCTTCTCTGGTCTTCCACAGCCCCTCCTGCATCACCCAGGGCTAAAGGGCCACCTGGCCTGGCCTGAATCCCCTCGTCCCTCCGCTTCCTCACTCAGCTCCTTCAGCGCCCTCCTGAGGCAGGGGCGGCAAACTGTCCAGAGCTGGAGGCTCCCTCGACCAGGGCAGCACCGCTCCGCCCCTCTCCGCACCTGCCCAGCCCCTGGCAAAGGACGTGCCTGGGCCTGGCCCACTGCACGTCCCCCAACGCCTGCCCTGTGCCTGCAACGGCGACGCTGCCAACAACAGGTGCCAGAGGCTGAGGCGCAACCCCCCCCAGAGCGCAGGGTTCCCACTCACCTGGGAGTGGGGACACGCCCCTCCTGGTAGGTTGTACTGTTAAGATTATTTCCTTATTTATTTTACTTAAAACTGGTAGAATGTTACTATTATATGACGTACCCATGATTCTACCAGTAAATTTGGGCATACGTTTATTAGTTTTTGTTAGATTAACTAGTTCTTTTGTTTCTGTTATTAAGGTGAAATTTAAATTCTATCTGAAATCAGTAAGATACAGAGAGATTTTAATGAGAAGTGAGTATTTTTTTCTAAAGGGGAACTGATATCTCTGGCTGAATATGTGTCTTCTTGCTGAAGTTTGAAAGTCAGTTATTTTATTAAAGTTTAATTTTACTATAAAAATAACAACTATTAAAAATTCCCTGTCATCATTGGAAGGATAAATTTTGGTGCAGTGTTAGTATAACAATATTTCGAATTTTTAAATGTTCTAATTATTCAAATTGTGGTCATGCTTTAAAAATATATGCCATAGAAGTTATGTTATTTTAAAATACCATTCTTTATTATGGGAAGAAGCAGTAAATTCACCTTAACTGTAGCAGACTCTAGAGCTGGCTAAAACACCCTTTAGAGGTTAAATTGTAATGAGGTAGACCATCAATGCAAAAAACAGTTTTTTTAGTTGTTCCGCTACCTGTGCAAAACTTATTAGAAGAATGTTCAGAAATTAAAATCTGTGTTTGTTAAGACTTGTTTCTGCTGGGGGTTTTAGAATGTAATAAAAGCTATAAATAAAATTCTAAGCCCCGTATCAACTGAACATACTTCCTCTTGAGCAAGAAGACCCCAGAAAAAAACTTAAAAACTGAATTTCTGGCTATGACAGCAAGAGAGGTGTTATGTGCAGGAGATGCTCCAGGGAAGAAGAAAACACACACACACAATACCTTTAAAGGTCAACAAACTCGATCCCACATAAATGGCATTTCAGATATAATAAGCAAATGATAGAATAAGCAAATTGATACAATAAGCAAATTGCAGTGGGAAGGGGAGAAGGAAAAAAATGTGTGTATATATATATATATATGAGGATAGACTATGCAGGATTCATCACCAGACCGAGAAGCAACAGCCTGGGCTCCAGAGTCAGCCACTCATCCATGCACAAAGGAACACAAAAAGGTCAATTTGCTTTTGCCGTTGTCTGTTGTTTTTCAATAACTAAAGTATAGGAATAGATTGAAATAGAGATTTCTCTGAAACAGTGCTGGATGAATGCCTCAAGGGGCTCACAAAACCTATTCCGAGACTTGGTGACCATTATTTGTGTCCATGTTCAATTGAGTTTAAATATATTATTTAACTTTTTCTGCATATTCGGTCCCAACTGATACTCAAATGTAGGAAAATACCCTTACAGATATACGAGGAATACATAATTGGTAGAGGTTACAGAAGCAGGGTAAGCAGAGGAGAATTAAAACACAGTTAATAAAAACCGCACCCACCAAGGCCAACGCCAATGCCAGTTGGACAGCCAATTCATAATGGGGTCCTGACAGTTAGATTTTGTTTTGCTTGTCCTTGCATGTCTTGTGCGAGGAGAGTAATATTGTGAGAACTGTCAGGGATACACACACAAAATTCAGTATGCAGCAAGGCTGAAAAGCTCCTTGGGCTGCGGTAAACATACCTAATGCCATTTGATTTTGCAACACAACAGTACACAACTGAGCAAATTCCTCTGATAACAACATAAGTCCAGTGCTACTACCATTAAGAGCTTTTTCTACATGTAAGCTTAATATTTAAATTTTTTGCTGAAGCAGAATTGTATCAGTGGCAGAGGAGAACACTGTTATAGGGTACACCCCATCAGGGATTCTGGCGCATTTGTAACCAGTGATGTTTGGAAGCATCTAGATTTAGGAAAGAGGTTGTGTTTCACTGGGGACAATGCTGTTGATTTGGAGTATGTGTTGACAATTGTCTGGTGGGAGAAGCCCCAGAGTAACATTAAAAGAGCCATTTAAGGCCTCCAGACAAAGGGGGGGTGCGGTGCCATATGGAGTTCAGCTACCGGTATGGTAGGTTCCATGTATATGTCTTTCCAGGTATATTGGGTAGGATACAAAGGCTTTTGATGCATTGCAAAAGTGGATTTCTCCTTTTGTCAGACTTGGGCAAAAATAGACTCTTTGATTTGGTTAAAAGAAGTCCAGGTGGGATTACAGGTGCTATTCTCCTGACCCCCTTGGCAGTGATGTAACCACTTGGAAATGTTGGCAGAGACAATTTTTTAAGGGAGCCCATTCCCTGCAGCCTGTGGCAATTCGACTATAAGGCAGCACTAACTGCAGTTGACTTCTTTTGCAGCGGTGGCTACCCAGTTGCTAAATGCATTCTTGGCCTCAGACACAAAGAAGAAGGTGCTGACCATCATTCGATAGGCTATTCCTTTTAATAACAAAAACAGAGGGGAACATAACATTGTTTTTAAAATTTTACTACTCCCCTCATTTTCTGCCCCCATACTGTGGACCCAGGATTTAAGCTGCCCACTTTGGTGGACCCAAATCCTCCAGTTCTATATTATGTTCCTACTGGGGCAGAAATTTCCTCGGGGGTTAATTGGTGACACGGTACTACCAGTAGCTGAGCAATCTGCATCTGTGGCTTTATGGCAAAAGAATTTTCGGTGGTATTGTGTTAAAAGATTTTTAACTCTCACCGGTAATCACTATCAATTACACCACCATACACTATAATGCCTCTCATTCCAATGCTTGGACGTGTTGTAATCCATTCATCCACATTTGAGTTTGCAGTTATGGTGGAAATTTTGGCCTGTTGACCTGCCTGCTGATTAATTAGTCTGCCAAGAGAAAGCAGAGATGAATGAGCATCAACATAACAGTGTTAATGGTAGGGTGCACAGGGATTCAGATATCTTCCCTGTATTCTTTCCCCAAACCTCTTTATTCCCAATTAACAATTTGCCTCATTGCCATTGAGGCATCTAGGTAGTAAGACCATTTGCTACTGACCAAGAGTTGGTATACAAGTGTCAAATCCCTCTGGCCTTCTTCTGAATAGCTGGGAAGATGGCTACTAGCTCAGCCAGCTGGCTGCTCCCATCCCTTCCTTCATCAGAAATACTTATGTTTTTAACAGGATTATAAGCCACGGCCTCCCCGCATCGGGTCCCACCAATGTATTTGGCAGATCCATCAGTAAATCAAGCATGTTTCTGATGCTTTGGATGAGGCAGGTCTCTTTCCCTGCCTGCAGGACTTGTTCGGTGGCTTTCTGAGTTGGCAAATTTTTTAAAAACGATACCCCCTTTGGTCCTGGCTTTGCCCTATCTTGTATATACCATTCCATTATGTGATGCTACTTTCTTCAGCATGCCCTATTCGATGGGTTTTGGTGGACCTCATGACCCAAGTCATAATAGGAATTTCAGGCCTTATGAAGACATCATGGTTGAAGCAGAGAGTCTCCATTTCCAGCAAAGCACGATAGCAAGCTAACAGTCGCTTCTCAAAAGGATTATAAGCTTCGCCAGCCTCTGGCAGCTTCCGGGTTTGAAACCCCAAGAGTCCCCTCTTCCCATCTTGTTTCTGCCAAAGGCTCCAATTAGCATGTTAATCCAGGACAGTTGTTTGCAATTCTACTGGCCCATCCCATATGGGCCATCCAGGGCCAGATGCACTGCTTGCTTAGCTTGCTCAAAGGCTGTGTTCTCTTTCTACCTCCAGTGAAAGTCATTATATTTTCTAGTGACTGCATACAGAGGTTGTGAGATGTTACCCAAATCGGGAAGATGTCTCCAGAATTCAAACAAGCCAATAAATTTCTGGGCCTCCTTTTTAGTGGTAGGGGTTGCAAATTCTAGTATTTTAACCATAGCCTTTGGTAAAATGGACTTTTTCCTTGCTTTCCATGGGATGCAAAGCAATTTTATAGTTTGTGCAGGTTCTTGAAATTTGTAAAGGCTAATTTCCCATTCTTCAGATAGGAACTGGGTTTTTACCCACTCCAAACCCCAGCTGACTCGTTCTTCAGTTTTACCCTGACCACACCACTTGCACAGCTGTTTTTTTCATCAATAATCTGTTAGCTTTGAGCCTGATCAGTCAAGGCATAGGCCTGAAATTGAGCCAGGGCCAGTCTGGAAGTCAGAGTAGTGTTTTCTTTTTCCAGCTTACATTTATCTTGTAGCAATTGATTTCTATCTCAACACATTAACTTATAAGCAGTAAGCAAACACCATCTATGCTAAGAGATCCCCCTGGCATCTCCTTTGCTGACTGAAATCCCCTGCAGCACTTCATGCACAGTCAAAGGTTCAAATTCCACTAATTTAGATGCCCAATTTTCACTAAGGTCAGTTCCCCCCGACCATTCAATTGCCAAGAGGGAGAACTGGAGGAGTTTCTATCCTGGAATGTGGGAAGTCCCTGAGCTTCCAGCCGTGATCTTGAAGCTGAAAAGTGAATCCTCCATAGTCTGGTGGGTGTAGTAGCCAACTCTGGAGCCTAGGCTGTTGCTTCCCCATCTGGCCATGAATGCTGTATAGCCTGGTGAGTACATATACATAGATATAGATATAGATAGATAGATACATACATACATAGATATAGATAGATAGATAAAAATATAGATATAGATATAGATATCTGCAATGCCATTTACATGGGATAAAAAAGTTGTTTACCCTTAAAGGTATTGTGTGTGTGTCTTTTCTTCTCCCATCAGCATCTCCCACACAGAACAGGAGGAGACAGACAGGCCTTGTTACACACCTGTTTGCTGTTGTACCTCTGTTTGCTCTTTAGGTACAACAAATCATCAGCACTGATGTTAAAATAGAGATCATAAGACTGACAAAACTGACTCTGTGGCAATATAATACCAAATTATTGTCACAATTTAAGGCAGTGCAAGGCAAGTGTTAAGCCATGCATGCAGGCCAGCAATCTTGCTACATAGCATCCCTATCTCCACTTAAGAGTTAAAACTTTTATATCAGCTGACTCCAAGTTTTAGATAGAACATTAACCCTTTAACAGTTAAGCAAGAGGGAGGAGCCAAGATGGCCGAATAGGAACAGCTCCGGTCTACAGCTCCCAGCCTGAGGGAGGCAAAAGACGGGTGATTTCTGCATTTCCATCTGAGGTACCGGGTTCATCTCACTAGGGAGTGCCAGACAGTGGGCGCAGGCCAGTGGGTGCACGCACCGTGCGCGAGCCGAAGCAGGGCGAGGCATTGCCTCACTTGGGAAGCGCAAGGGGTCAGGGAGTTCCCTTTCCAAGTCAAAGAAAGGGGTGACGGACGCACCTGGAAAATCGGGTCACTCCCACCCGAATATTGCGCTTTTCACACCGGCTTAAAAAACGGCGCACCACGAGATTATATCCCACACCTGGCTCGGAGGGTCCTACGCCCACGGAATCTCACTGATTGCTAGCACAGCAGTCTGAGATCAAACTGCAAGGTGGCAGCGAGGCTGGGGGAGGGGCACCCGCCATTGCCCAGGCTTGCTTAGGTAAACAAAGCAGCCGGGAAGCTCGAACTGGGTGGAGCCCACCACAGCTCAAGGAGGCCCGCCTGCCTCTGTAGGCTCCAACTTTGGGGGCAGGGCACAGACAAACAAAAAGACAGCAGTAACCTCTGCAGACTTAAATGTCCCTTTCTGACAGCTTTGAAGAGAGCAGTGGTTCTCCCAGCACGCAGCTGGAGATCTGAGAACCAGCAGACTGCCTCCTCAAGTGGGTCCTTGACCCCTGACCACCGAGCAGCCTAACTGGGAGGCACCCCCCAGCAGGGGCACACTGACACCTCACACAACAGGGTATTCCAACAGACCTGCAGCTGAGGGTCCTGTCTGTTAGAAGGAAAACTAACAAAGAGAAAGGACATCCACACCGAAAACCCATCTGTACATCACCATCATCAAAGACGAAAAGTAGATAAAACCACAAAGATGGGGAAAAAAACAGAACAGAAAAACTGGAAACTCTACAATGCAGAGCGCCTCTCCTCCTCCAAAGGAACGCAGTTCCTCACCAGCAACGGAACAAAGCTGGATGGAGAATGACTTTGACGAGCTGAGAGAAGGCTTCACACGATCAAATTCCTCTGAGCTATGGGAGGACATTCAAACCAAAGGCAAAGAAGTTGAAAACTTTGAAAAAAATTTAGAAGAATGTATAACTAGAATAACCAATACAGAGAAGTGCTTAAAGGAGCTGATGGAGCTGAAAACTAAGGCTCGAGAACTACGTGAAGAATGCAGAAGCCTCAGGAGCCGATGCGATCAACTGGAAGAAAGGGTATCAGCAATGGAAGATGAAATGAATGAAATGAAGCGAGAAGGGAAGTTTAGAGAAAAAAGAATAAAAAGAAATGAACAAAGCCTCCAAGAAATACGGGACTATGTGAAAAGACCAAATCTACATCTGATTGGTGTACCTGAAAGTGATGGGGAGAATGGAACCAAGTTGGAAAACACTCTGCAGGATATTATTCAGGAGAACTTCCCCAATCTAGCAGGGCAGGCCAACGTTCAGATTCAGGAAATACAGAGAACGCCACAAAGATACTCCTCGAGAAGAGCAACTCCAAGACACATAATTGTCAGATTCACCAAAGTTGAAATGAAGGAAAAAATGTTAAGGGCAGCCAGAGAGAAAGGTCGGATTACCCTCAAAGGGAAGCCCATCAGACTAATAGCGGATCTCTCGGCAGAAACCCTACAAGCCAGAAGAGAGTGGGGGCCAATATTCAACATTCTTAAAGAAAAGAATTTTCAACCCAGAATTTCATATCCAGCCAAACTAAGCTTCATAAGTGGAGAAATAAAATACTTCACAGACAAGCAAATGCTGAGAGATTTTGTCACCACCAGGCCTGCCCTAAAAGTGCTCCTGAAGGAAGCACTAAACATGGAAAGGAACAACCGGTACCAGCCGCTGCAAAATCATGCCAAAATGTAAAGACCATCGAGAATAGGAAGAAACTGCATCAACTAACGAGCAAAATAACCAGCTAACATCATAATGACAGGATCAAATTCACACATAACAGTATTAACTTTAAATGTAAATGGACTAAATTCTCCAATTAAAAGACACAGACTGGCAAATTGGATAAAGAGACCCATCAGTTTGCTGTATTCAGGAAACCCATCTCACGTGCAGAGACACACATAGGCTCAAAATAAAGGGATGGAGGAAGATCTACCAAGCAAATGGAAAACAAAAAAAGGCAGGGGTTGCAATCCTCGTCTCTGATAAAACAGACTTTAAACCAACAAAGATCAAAAGAGACAAAGAAGGCCACTACATAATGGTAAAGGGATCAATGCAACAAGAAGAGCTAACTATCCTAACTATATATGCACCCAATACAGGAGCACCAAGATTCATAAAGCAAGTCCTGAGTGACCTACAAAAAGACTTAGACTCCCACACATTAATAATGGGAGACTTTAACACCCCACTGTCAACATTAGACAGATCAATGAGACAGAAAGTCAACAAGGATACCCAGGAATTGAACTCAGCTCTGCACCAAGTGGACCTAATAGACATCTACAGAACTCTCCACCCCAAATCAACAGAATATACATTTTTTTTCAGCACCACACCACACCTATTCCAAAATTGACCACATAGTTGGAAGTAAAGCTCTCCTCAGCAAATGTAAAATAACAGAAATAATAACAAACTATCTCTCAGACCACAGTGCAATTCAACTAGAACTCAGGATTAAGATTCTCACTCAAAACTGCTCAACTACATGGAAACTGAACAACCTGCTCCTGAATGACTACTGGGTACATAACGAAATGAAGGCAGAAATAAAGATGTTCTTTGAAACCAATGAGAACAAAGACACAACATACCAGAATCTCTGGGACACATTCAAAGCAGCGTGTAGAGGGAAATTTATAGCACTAAATGCCCACAAGAGAAAGCAGGAAAGATCCAAAATTGACACCATAACATCACAATTAAAAGAACTAGAAAAGCAAGAGCAAACACATGCAAAAGCTAGCAGAAGGCAAGAAATAACTAAAATCAGAGCAGAACTGAAGGAAATAGAGACACAAAAAACCCTTCAAAAAATCAATGAATCCAGGAGCTGGTTTTTTGAAAGGATCAACAAAATTGATAGACTGCTAGCAAGACTAATAAAGAAAAAAAGAGGGAAGAATCAAATAGACGCAATAAAAAATGATAAAGGCGATATCACCACCGATCCCACAGAAATACAAACTACCATCAGAGAATATTACAAACACCTCTACGCAAATAAACTAGAAAATCTAGAAGAAATGGATAAATTCCTCGACACATACACTCTCCCAAGACTAAACCAGGAAGAAGTTGAATCTCTGAATAGACCAATAACAGGATCTGAAATTGTGGCAATAATCAATAGTTTACCAACCAAAAAGAGTCCAGAACCAGATGGATTCACAGCTGAATTCTACCAGAGGTACAAGGAGGGACTAGTACCATTCCTTCTGAAACTATTCCAAACAATAGAAAAAGAGGGATTCCTCCCTAACTCATTTTATGAGGCCAGCATCATTCTGATACCAAAGCCGCGCACAGACACAATGAAAAAAGAGAATTATAGACCAATATCCTTGATGAACATTGATGCAAAAATCCTCAATAAAATACTGGCAAACCGAATCCAGCAGCACATCAAAAAGCTTATCCACCATGATCAAGTGGGCTTCATCCCTGGGATGCAAGGCTGGTTCAATATACGCAAATCAATAAATGTAATCCAGCATATAAACAGAGCCAAAGACAAAAACCACATGATTATCTCAATAGATGCAGAAAAAACCTTTGACAAAATTCAACAACCCTTCATGCTAAAAACTCTCAACAAATTAGGTATTGATGGGACGTATTTCAAAATAATAAGAGCTATCTATGACAAACCAACAGCCAATATCATACTGAATGGGCAAAAACTGGAAGCATTCCCTTTGAAAACTGGCACAAGACAGGGATGCCCTCTCTCACCACTCCTATTCAACACAGTGTTGGAAATTCTGGCCAGGGCAATTAGGCAGGAGAAGGAAATAAAGGGTATTCAATTAGGAAAATAGGAAGTCAAATTGTCCCTGTTTGCAGACGACATGATTGTATATCTAGAAAACCCCATTGTCTCAGCCCAAAATCTCCTTAAGCTGATAAGCAACTTCAGCAAAGTCTCAGGATACAAAATCAATGTACAAAAATCACAAGCATTCTTATACACCAACAACAGACAAACAGAGAGCCAAATCATGAGTGAACTTCCATTCAGAATTGCTTCAAAGAGAATAAAATACCTAAGAATCCAACTTACAAGGGATGTGAAGGACCTCTTCAAGGAGAACTACAAACCACTGCTCAAGGAAATAAAAGAGGATACAAACAAATGGAAGAACATTCCATGCTCATGAGTAGGAAGAATCAATATCGTGAAAATGGCCATACTGCCCAAGGTAATTTACAGATTCAATGCCATCCCCATCAAGCTACCAATGACTTTCTTCACAGAATTGGAAAAAACTACTTGAAAGTTCATATGGAACCAAAAAAGAGCCCGCATCGCCAAGTCAATCCTAAGCCAAAAGAACAAAGCTGGAGGCATCACACTACCTGACTTCACACTATACTACAAGGCTACAGTAACCAAAACAGCATGGTACTGGTACCAAAACAGAGATATAGATCAATGGAACAGAACAGAGCCCTCAGAAATAATGCCGCATATCTACAACTATCTGATCTTTGACAAACCTGACAAAAACAAGCAATGGGGAAAGGATTCCCTATTTAATAAATGGTGCTGGGAAAACTGGCTAGCCATATGTAGAAAGCTGAAACTGGATCCCTTCCTTACACCTTATACAAAAATCAATTCAAGATGGATTAAAGAGTTAGACATTAGACCTAAAACCATAAAAACCCTAGAAGAAAACCTAGGCATTACCATTCAGGACATAGACGTGGGCAAGGACTTCATGTCCAAAACACCAAAAGCAATGGCAACAAAAGACAAAATTGACAAATGGGATCTAATTAAACTAAAGAGCTTCTGCACAGCAAAAGAAACTACCATCAGACTGAACAGGCAACCTACAAAATGGGAGAAAATTTTCGCAACCTACTCATCTGACAAAGGGCTAATATCCAGAATCTACAATGAACTCAAACAAATTTACAAGAAAAAACAAACAACCCCATCAAAAAGTGGGCAAAGGACATGAACAGACACTTCTCAAAAGAAGACATTTATGCAGCCAAAAAACACATGAAAAAATGCTCATCATCACTGGCCATCAGAGAAATGCAAATCAAAACCACAATGAGATACCATCTCACACCAGTTAGAATGGCAATCATTAAAAAGTCAGGAAACAACAGGTGCTGGAGAGGATGTGGAGAAATAGGAACACTTTTACACTGTTGGTGGGACTGTAAACTAGTTCAACCATTGTGGAAGTCAGTGTGGCGATTCCTCAGGGATCTAGAACTAGAAATACCATTTGACCCAGCCATCCCATTACTGGGTATATACCCAAAGGACTATAAATCATGCTGCTATAAAGACACATGCACACTTATGTTTATTGTGGCATTATTCACAATAGCAAAGACTTGGAACCAACCCAAATGTCCAACAATGATAGACTGGATTAAGAAAACCTGGCACATATACACCATGGGATACTATGCAGCCATAAAAAATGATGAGTTCATGTCCTTTGTAGGGACATGGATGAAATTGGAAATCATCATTCTCAGTAAACTATCGCAAGAACAAAAAAGCAAACACCGCATATTCTCACTCATAGGTGGGAATTGAACAATGAGATCCCATGGACACAGGAAGGGGAATATCACACTCTGGGGACTGTTGTGGGGTGGGGGGAGGGGGGAGGGATAGCATTGGGAAATACACCTAATGCTAGATGACGAGTTAGTGAGTGCAGCACACCAGCATGGCACATGTATACATATGTAACTAACCTGCACAATGTGCACATGTACCCTAAAACTTAAAGTATAATTTAAAAAAATAAAAAAATAAAAAATAAAACAACTGCCCATTTTACCATCTCTTCAGTCCTTGACAAGCTCCATTCTAACTTTTTTTTCCTATGAGTTTATCTACTTAAGATACCTGATTATGAATGGAATCATAGACTGTCACTTTGTTCCTGGCTTATTTCAATTAACATGATCTTCTCCAGAATTATCATATAATATGTCTTTTTAAAGACTGAATAATATTCGACTTTGTGTATGTACCACTTGTTATTAATCTGTTCATTGGTCAAGGGACATCTGGATTGTTTCTGCCTTTTGGCTTGTGTTAATAATATTGCAATAAATTTGGTTGTGCAAATATCTCTTCCAGATCTCTGTTGTATATTTTAAGTACATAGCCAGAAGGGGGTTTGCTGGATTATATAATAATCTCATTTTAAATTTTTTGAAGAGCTGTCATACTATTTTAAATATCGGCTTGAGGCCGTAGATTATTGTGACTTTGCTTTGCATTTTTCTAGAAGAGTGATGTCGAGTATCCTTTTATTTTTTTATTTTATATTTTTAATTTCATAAACATTTATTCACAGCCCCTTTAAAAGTACAGCAGTGAAGTAAAACCCCAATTAAACAACTGCCCATTAACTTGTTACTTAAAATTTAGTCTTAAAAACCAATAGACTTTTTTTTTGGTGTGTATGCAATTACTTTTATAAACACAGTTTAGGTTGGAATAAGGAAGTCCTAATTCATCATGTTGGAGCTTGCCCTCACTGCTGCAGGCTGTTGAAGTGAGCCTCCTTCAAGGTCTGGTTGATATGGGAGTAAAGACCTTGGCATGGTACATACCCCTCATGCAAGAACTGGGGAAAGTTTGCATTGGGTTCAGTAACAATCTGGTTTAAGTTGCCTTCTGGTCCACCTGCTCTCTCTGGGATATTAAGGCGGCTGTTGCTCCTTTCATTATCACTCCATGAAAACTGTGTCTTGAGAATCCTGAAAGATAGGGTTTCTCTTATTCCTTTTGGGCTGGGTGGAATGATGGTTGCCCTCTTTACTGCCATTTCTTCTTCTTTTCCGTACAGGGCAGCCTCCCATAGTCCTGCCCTCGGACGAGTATCCTTTTAAATACCTAGTCATTTCTATGTCTTCTTTGGAGAAAGGAGGATATACCCCAAATATATATTTTATACTCTACATGAAATATCAAAGTTCACAAACCATATATTATATACTGTACATAAAATATCAAAGTACCCAAGGTATATATTCTATACTGTACAAAAAATATCAAAGTACCCAAAGCATTTATTATATACTGTACATAAAATATGAAACTACACCAAATATATATTTTATTCTGTACATAAAATATCAAAGTACACCAGATATATATTCTATAGTGTTCATAAAATATCAAAGTACCCAAACTATACATTATATACTGTACATAAAATATGAAATTACATCAAATATAATTTATATTAGGTACATAAAATATGAAAGTACATCAAATATAGATTATATACTGTACATTAAATACCAAAGTACCCCAAATATATATTTAATACTGTACATGAAATATCAAAGTTCACACACTATATATTATATACTGTACATAAAATATCAAAGTACCCAAGGTATATATTCTATACTGTACAAAAAATATCAAAGTACCCAAAGCATGTATTATATACTGTATATAAAATATGAAAGTACATCAAATATATATTTTATTCTGTACATAATATATCAAAGTACACCAGATATATATTCTATAGTGTACATAAAATAACAAAGTACAGAAACTATAAATTATATACTGTACATAAAATATGAAATTACATCAAATATATATTAGGTACATAAAATATGAAAGTACATCAAATATACATTATATACTGTACATATAATATCAATGTACCGCAAATATATATTTTATACTCTACATGAAATATCAAAGTTCACAAACCATATATTATATACTGTACATAAGATATCAAAGTACCCAAGGTATATATTCTATACTGTACAAAAAATATCAAAGTACCCAAAGCATGTATTATATACTGTACATAAAATATGAAAGTACATCAAATATATATTTTATTCTGTACATAAAATATCAAGGTACACCAGATATATATTCTATAGTGTACATAAAATATCAAAGTACCCAAACTATACATTATATACTGTACATAAAATATGAAATTACATCAAATATATATTATATTATGTACATAAAATATGAAAGTACATCAAATATAGATTGTATAGTGTACATTAAATACCAAAGTACCCCAAATATATATTTTATACTGTACATGAAATATCAAAGTTCACAAACTATATATTATATACTGTACATAAAATATCAAAGTACCCAATGTATATATTCTATACTGTACAAAAAATATCAAAGTACCCAAAGCATGTATTATATACTGTACATAAAATATGAAAGTACATCAAATATATATTTTATTCTGTACATAAAATATCAAAGTACACCAGATATATATTCTATAGTGTACATAAAATATCAAAGTACCCAAACTATACTTTAAATGAATCTATGAATGAATCCAGCAAAATGTTTATGATTTGAGTATTCACAAAATGTATTGTGATAAAACATAACCAAGTATATGTTTTATCATGTAATAATCACTTTGGCAACCTCAAATGTCATGGGTTCACAGGGTAAATGTTAAGGTAGTAGCTAAACAATTAAGAGTAAGGAGATCTAAAGTAAGTGAAAAAAATTCAAGATGTAATACAGAGTCCAAAATGACAGACTTGAGAAATTTTCAAAAACTAGGAAAAGAAAACCAAAAGTCATTCTTGCCGTGTCTCTGATTGCACTGACTTGATGCAGAATTGGTGCATTAACATATGTATACATTACATACATATACATGTGCCATGCTGGTGTGCTGCACCCATTAACTCGACATTTAGCATTAGGCATATCTCCTAATGCTATCCCTCCCCCCCGTCTCCCCACCCCACAACAGTCCCCAGAGTGTGATGTTCCCCTTCCTGTGTCCGTGTGTTCTCATTGTTTAATTCCCACCTATGAGTGAGAACATGCGGTGTTTGGTTTTTTGTCCTTGGGATAGTTGACTGAGAATGATGAATTAAAATAAAAATGCATGCACTTTCAAATGTACTTAGTGCAACATATTGAACTTAAATTCCAGTTTTCCTGGAATTACTTGTGTCTTGAGCTAAAGGCTGTATTTGATATAACAGGGAAGGAAAGAAATTATTTTTCCTATAAAATTAGTTTAGTTTAAAAACACATATAATTAAACAAAATAAAAATATTATTCCATCTTTTAAAGAACATTTACTAATTCACAGATATTACCCGAAGTTTAGAAAGTCACCTAAGAACAATTGTTTAAAAATTATTTAGGGAAAATGAAGCAAAATTGTTTTCAATCTGAGATTTTAACAGCCAGTGCACTCCTGTTCCTCAGCTGAAAGTCCCCTTCATTCTGAATGTCTGCAGTAGTATTGAATTGGGGAGCAGTTAGGTTCCAGGGACATATTCACTCCTGTTTTGTTCTCCCATCAATCTCAGCCTTTCGGTGACTGTTTGGGCAAAGCCTCCCTTGTGGTAGAAGATGCCTCACTTCTGGGGAGAAGAGGCTCCTCATCTTGCAGACAAGAAGCAGCACCCACTGTTTCTTGCTCCAAAAGCCATTAACATTATAAACTGGCCAGTTGCAGTGGCTCAAACTTGTAATCCCAGCACCTTTTGGGAGGTTGAGGCACAAGGATTGCTTGAGCCCAGGAGTTTGAGTACAGCCTTGGCAACAAAGTGAGACCCAATCTCTACAAAAACTAGAGAAAAAATAGCTGGGTGTGTTGGCACTCACCTGTACTAAGGAGGCTGGACTGGGAGGATCTCTTGAGCCCAGGTGGTTGAGGCTGCAGTGAGCCAAGATCACGCCTCTGCACTTGAGCTTGGGTGACAGAGTAAGACCCTATCTCAAAAAATAAATTATAAACTGATTCACAATATCTTTGGTTTTGTCACTAATACGCTGAAAAGAGGATACAAACAAATGGAAGAACATTCCATGCTCATGAGTAGGAAGAATCAATATCGTGAAAATGGCCATACTGCCCAAGGTAATTTACAGATTCAATGCCATCCCCATCAAGCTACCAATGACTTTCTTCACAGAATTGGAAAAAACTACTTGAAAGTTCATATGGAACCAAAAAAGAGCCCGCATCGCCAAGTCAATCCTAAGCCAAAAGAACAAAGCTGGAGGCATCACACTACCTGACTTCACACTATACTACAAGGCTACAGTAACCAAAACAGCATGGTACTGGTACCAAAACAGAGATATAGATCAATGGAACAGAACAGAGCCCTCAGAAATAATGCCGCATATCTACAACTATCTGATCTTTGACAAACCTGACAAAAACAAGCAATGGGGAAAGGATTCCCTATTTAATAAATGGTGCTGGGAAAACTGGCTAGCCATATGTAGAAAGCTGAAACTGGATCCCTTCCTTACACCTTATACAAAAATCAATTCAAGATGGATTAAAGAGTTAGACATTAGACCTAAAACCATAAAAACCCTAGAAGAAAACCTAGGCATTACCATTCAGGACATAGACGTGGGCAAGGACTTCATGTCCAAAACACCAAAAGCAATGGCAACAAAAGACAAAATTGACAAATGGGATCTAATTAAACTAAAGAGCTTCTGCACAGCAAAAGAAACTACCATCAGACTGAACAGGCAACCTACAAAATGGGAGAAAATTTTCGCAACCTACTCATCTGACAAAGGGCTAATATCCAGAATCTACAATGAACTCAAACAAATTTACAAGAAAAAACAAACAACCCCATCAAAAAGTGGGCAAAGGACATGAACAGACACTTCTCAAAAGAAGACATTTATGCAGCCAAAAAACACATGAAAAAATGCTCATCATCACTGGCCATCAGAGAAATGCAAATCAAAACCACAATGAGATACCATCTCACACCAGTTAGAATGGCAATCATTAAAAAGTCAGGAAACAACAGGTGCTGGAGAGGATGTGGAGAAATAGGAACACTTTTACACTGTTGGTGGGACTGTAAACTAGTTCAACCATTGTGGAAGTCAGTGTGGCGATTCCTCAGGGATCTAGAACTAGAAATACCATTTGACCCAGCCATCCCATTACTGGGTATATACCCAAAGGACTATAAATCATGCTGCTATAAAGACACATGCACACTTATGTTTATTGTGGCATTATTCACAATAGCAAAGACTTGGAACCAACCCAAATGTCCAACAATGATAGACTGGATTAAGAAAACCTGGCACATATACACCATGGGATACTATGCAGCCATAAAAAATGATGAGTTCATGTCCTTTGTAGGGACATGGATGAAATTGGAAATCATCATTCTCAGTAAACTATCGCAAGAACAAAAAAGCAAACACCGCATATTCTCACTCATAGGTGGGAATTGAACAATGAGATCCCATGGACACAGGAAGGGGAATATCACACTCTGGGGACTGTTGTGGGGTGGGGGGAGGGGGGAGGGATAGCATTGGGAAATACACCTAATGCTAGATGACGAGTTAGTGAGTGCAGCACACCAGCATGGCACATGTATACATATGTAACTAACCTGCACAATGTGCACATGTACCCTAAAACTTAAAGTATAATTTAAAAAAATAAAAAAATAAAAAATAAAACAACTGCCCATTTTACCATCTCTTCAGTCCTTGACAAGCTCCATTCTAACTTTTTTTTCCTATGAGTTTATCTACTTAAGATACCTGATTATGAATGGAATCATAGACTGTCACTTTGTTCCTGGCTTATTTCAATTAACATGATCTTCTCCAGAATTATCATATAATATGTCTTTTTAAAGACTGAATAATATTCGACTTTGTGTATGTACCACTTGTTATTAATCTGTTCATTGGTCAAGGGACATCTGGATTGTTTCTGCCTTTTGGCTTGTGTTAATAATATTGCAATAAATTTGGTTGTGCAAATATCTCTTCCAGATCTCTGTTGTATATTTTAAGTACATAGCCAGAAGGGGGTTTGCTGGATTATATAATAATCTCATTTTAAATTTTTTGAAGAGCTGTCATACTATTTTAAATATCGGCTTGAGGCCGTAGATTATTGTGACTTTGCTTTGCATTTTTCTAGAAGAGTGATGTCGAGTATCCTTTTATTTTTTTATTTTATATTTTTAATTTCATAAACATTTATTCACAGCCCCTTTAAAAGTACAGCAGTGAAGTAAAACCCCAATTAAACAACTGCCCATTAACTTGTTACTTAAAATTTAGTCTTAAAAACCAATAGACTTTTTTTTTGGTGTGTATGCAATTACTTTTATAAACACAGTTTAGGTTGGAATAAGGAAGTCCTAATTCATCATGTTGGAGCTTGCCCTCACTGCTGCAGGCTGTTGAAGTGAGCCTCCTTCAAGGTCTGGTTGATATGGGAGTAAAGACCTTGGCATGGTACATACCCCTCATGCAAGAACTGGGGAAAGTTTGCATTGGGTTCAGTAACAATCTGGTTTAAGTTGCCTTCTGGTCCACCTGCTCTCTCTGGGATATTAAGGCGGCTGTTGCTCCTTTCATTATCACTCCATGAAAACTGTGTCTTGAGAATCCTGAAAGATAGGGTTTCTCTTATTCCTTTTGGGCTGGGTGGAATGATGGTTGCCCTCTTTACTGCCATTTCTTCTTCTTTTCCGTACAGGGCAGCCTCCCATAGTCCTGCCCTCGGACGAGTATCCTTTTAAATACCTAGTCATTTCTATGTCTTCTTTGGAGAAAGGTCATTTCAAACATTTACCATTCTAAATCAAGTTATTAACATTTTGTTGTTGTTGAATTTTAGAAGTTTATATCTTTTGGAAATTAACACCTACCAAATATGTGATTAGAAAATATTTTTACACTTTTTTGTCATATGTATGTATGTATGCACATATATTACCCTATACAAGACAGGGTCTTGATATATTTTCATGGCTAGTCTCAAACTTTTGGCCTCAAATGATCGTTCTGACTTGGCCTCCTAAATTTCTAGAATTATAGGCATGAGCCAGCATGCCCAGGTTTCACCCACTTATTAGGTGACATTTGTATGCCACTAAATGTTTTCCTTGATGTGTAGAATACTTGAAGGTTAATGTAGTTCCTTTCTTTTTTGTTCTTTTCCTTGTTTCTTATGAATTTGATGTCATACTTAAGCAAAGTTTTAAGACTTATGTCATAAAATTTTCCCCTATGTTTACTTCTAAGAATTTTATTAGTTTTTATGTTTAAGCATTAAATCCATTAAAAAACAACTTTTCTTTTTATATATAATACAAAAGAAGCATCCAACTTTATTTTTGCTCTGTAAACATTCAATTTTGAAAATTCTTTGTTAAAGAGATACTTATTTTTCTATTGCATGGTCATGGAAAGCATATGGAAGATTATTTTATCACGTATGCGAGGGTTTATTTCCAGGATGTCTATTCTGTTTCATCATCTATGTATCCGTTTTTGTGGCAATACCATATTGTTTTTATTTTTGTAGCTTTGTATCATGATTTTAAATCAGAAAATGTAATAACTCTTTGTCCTTTTTAAAGGGTGTTTGCCTAGTCACAGTTCCTAAACAACTTTTAGAATTATACACAAAAATTCTGCAAAAAAAATACCATTGGGATTTAGATGAAAATTACATTACGTTTTTATATCATCATGGGTAATACTGACAACTTTTTTTTTTTTCCTTTGGAGATGGAGTTTTAGTGAGTCACTCAGGCTGAAGGGCAGTGGTGTGAGCTGTGCTCACTGCAAGCTCTGCTTCCCATGTTCAAGCAATTCTCCAGTCTCAGCCACCAGAGTAGCTGGGATTACAGTCATGCACCAACATGTATAGCTAACTTTTGTATTTTTAGTAGAGATAGGGTTTTGCCATGTTGGCCAGGCTAGTCTCAAACTTCTGATCTCAAGTGATCCACACACTTTGGCCTCCCAAAGTCCTGGGATTACAGGCATGAGTCACGCGCCGGCCCTGACATCTTAACAATATTAAATCACCTGACACTTGAGCAAGACTATATGTAAGATTTTGCTTAATTTCCTCTTATTTACGTATCTGAAACATTTTCTTGCTTTTGATTTCTAGTTTCATTTACATTGCATGACTTCAGTTTTCTTAAATTTAATAAGACATGTATCCTAACAGAATGTACCATGTGTGATTGAGAATATTGCATATTTTGCTGCTTTCGATCACAGAGTTCTGTAAATGCTTGTTAGGTCTATAATGTTCAGGTTTGGCTTTCTTACTGATATTACATCTGACTATTCTAGTCATTATTGAAAGCGGAGTCTTGAAGTCCGCAATTGTTGTGTTGCTATATATTTCTTGCTTGACTTCTGTCAATATTTGTTTTACATATTTGAAAGACGAGAATCAGTTGAACCTGGGAGGCGGAGGTTGAAGTGAGCCAATCGCGAGATCGTGCCATTGTCCTCCAGCCTGGGAGACAGAAACTCTAACTCCAAAAAAAAAAATAAGAAAGATATCAGTGTTATTTATAGTAATATAAAAATTTAATGTAATTTTTATCAAAATCCCAATGGTATATTTTTGCAGATTTTGCAGATGGTATAATTTTTCAAATTATATATATGATTTCTAAATTATTGTTATGGATTTCTTGCAAGTTAATCCATCTCACCGTTACATAATAACAATCTGTCTCTTTTTAAAATTTTTAACTTAAAATATATTTTGTTTAATATAATTATGACCATGCCCCTCCAATTGTAGCTACTCTTTGCATAAAATATATTTTCTTTATACTGCTACTTTCAACTTATTTGGGTCCTTAGAGCTAAAGTGACTCTTGTAGAGAGTACATTGCTGGATCTTCTTTGTTCTTAATCCATTAAATCATTTTATGCATTTTCTTTAAGGTATTTAACTTTTTGTATTTGAAGTAATTACTGTAGTTAATGAAGTTACTATTATTATTTGTAATTGTCTTCTGTGTTTCTTGTAGATGTGTTATTTATCATTTTTTTCTCTTACTGCTTTATTTTTCTTCATTGATTTTGTAGTGACATGATTCAATTTCTTTCTCATTTGCTTCTGCATACCATCTACAGGTTTTTTTGTAATCATCTTGAGAAATAAAGACTTCATAAAACATCTTAAAGTTATGACAATATATAATGACTATATTTCAATGGAATGCAAAGCTTTACCTCTTTATACCCCCACTTTGTTATTAATATCACTTGTTATCTTTTCTTATTGAGTATCTATGAACCCATATTTATGCAGCTTTCTGCT
This sequence comes from Homo sapiens, assembly GCF_000001405.40. Lineage (NCBI taxonomy): Eukaryota > Metazoa > Chordata > Mammalia > Primates > Hominidae > Homo > Homo sapiens. The sequence continues at coordinate 87,025 of NW_021160026.1, forward strand.
TCATTTTTTAAATTCCATAGCAATAACGTGAAAGTTTTGTGCACCATCATTATGACAGTAGAGGTTTCTATAGCTGTTTATGTATTTACCTTTAATAGAGAGCTTTCTATTTTCATATGCTTTTATGACGCTGTGCAGCATATATTGTCATTTTTGGACGTGATAGACTTTCTTTTACATTTCCTTTAGCACTGTTCCAGTGGCTAGTAACACACTCAACTTTTATTTGTTTTGGAAATGCTTAACTTTTTTTTCTGAAGTGAAATTATTCCAGTTGAAGGTTTTTGTTTAGCATGATTTCTTCTTGTTTAATTACCTTGTCATCTAGGGAGTTCTCAGCTACTTTTTAAAAATATCCTCTTTATTATTTTTCTCCTATACTGTTTTTCTAAGACTCCTTTTATAAATACAGTGGTCCACTTGGTGGTGTGCTGTAAGTCCCAATTTTGATTTTTTCTCTATTCTGTTTAAAAAATTTGTTTTCATGAATCAGTATTTATAAGTGCAATGTTATCAACTGTCTAATTTTTTCTGCTTTATTAAATCCGCTTTTGTGACTGCTGATTAAATTTTTAATATAGTTACTGTGTTCTTCAGAGTCACAATTTTTCTTGGTTTTTAAAAATCTTTTTATTGATATCTCGTTTTCTTCATGCATCACTTCTAATATTCTTTTGTTGTCTATGTTCTGTTTTTGTTCATTAAGCACTTTTTTCTAATTACATTTTAATGTAATTAGAATGTCCACTTTTACAATACACAAATACAGTAACGGTAACTCGCACTAAAACAAAGCATACTTCTGATAGCCATTATTTTTCTCTTTGGGACAAATTTAAAGTTTTTCTTTTGTCACAAAAACAGGAATGTACTTATACAAAGGCTCAAAATAGGCCATCTTTTTAAACAAAAAGGCAATGATTCACAAAAGACTATGAATAGAACATGTAACTAATTGATACAAATCTAATAGGATTTGTTAAAATCAGCCACATCCAATACATCTGAAGTGTTCTTGTATAAAATATCACGTGAAGAAAAGAAGACTTTATCAATATCTTAAAAAGTGGGTTTGTTCATAGTCTGACAAGTTACCATTAAAAGTGTTCCTTTGACATAGGGAAATGCAATATTATTTTTCTTGAACCCTCTCAGCGCAAGACTTTCCACTCAATAAAATCGCAGAGGATCTGAAACTGAGAAAATATACTTGATTACTAACAGCTTGTGAAACTTAATACTTTTTTTTTTTTTGCATCATCAGCGGCTTTTACTGAACTTACAACCAACTTGCCGCTCAATATGCAGCTCAGATGTGAGAGACGCGTCTCTGTACAGGAGCCGGTACTGTCTTCAATCCTTTGCATGCAGGTGTTTACCACAGGCAAACAGTTTACTCCACATTTTCTAGTAATGTAATCTTCCTATTAGCAAAAAGCGGTAACCAGTCCCTGTAGACTGAAGGGACTCAAGTCACAGGATGCGGATTTCCTCTTCATGGTTTTTATTTTGATATTTGAACTGCTGATGCAACATATAAGCAGGGTGTTCAGGACCTGCTGTGTCTAAGGGACTGATAAAGGGAAAAGTTCTATTTATTCTTTGTGATTTGATGCACAGATGAAAAACTTAACACACAATAATAGAAGTTGGTCGTTAATAAATCACACCCTAGTCTTTCAGAGCTTCCGTAAGCAGACGACATTGTCAGTTTTCTAGCTCTTGTTTTAACACTGCAACAACAATGATGCATATGTCCGGAATCAGCTAAAAAGGCCGTCAGATTCTTTTTCTCTTAGATTATCTATTTTTCACTGTTCCCAAGTATATCTGAATAATTACCTTCCGGCATTCTCTGCTATTGCTCGTTGGGATGCTCTCGACTGTCCCCGTGTTTTGTGGGCTGTTGGGAGAGGGCCCTTGGGAAGGATGTACCACTGTTGGGAGGTTGTCAGTCACTGGGATGTCTCCAGGGATGATGTCTTCCCTGGCCGCAGAAGTCCTCCTGGAGCCACGCCCACCATGCCTGGCAGATATCTGTAGGTAGCACCACTGAGCTCAGGATGAATTTCTTGCTGGTCTATTACGGACCAAAGCGCTGATGTGACAAAGAATTCCTTGTTCACACAGTTTCTTAAGCTTCCCGGGATGCGACTTATGATGGCTTGGCGGATCTCAGTGGCAACTGCCTCGCTCATCTCCAGTGACACCTGCTGGCTGTAGCAGGCAGTGAGAGGAGTGCAGATGAGATTCCAGGCATCTTTCAACAGACCCCGAGCAAAACTAAAGGGCTCCGACTCATTCACGTCGAGGGCTGCCCCTCGTATTCTGCCCTCCTTGAGGGTGTGTGCTCAGGCTTTCTCGTCCACCAGGCCACCACAGGCTGCGTTCACAAGGAATGCTCCCTGCCTCATCTGCTTTATGGTAAAGTCATGGATAAGGTGGTAGTTTTGTTCGTTGAGATTGCAATGCAAGAAGACGCAGTCGTTCTGATACAGCAAATCCTGCTGGGTGTAGACCCTATGCACACCCAGGGACCGCTCGATCCCATCCTGCAAAGGCCTTGGCTCTAACTGCAACCTCCTGCTGCGTGCGACCGAAGCCGATGAGGCCCAATATCTCCCCACGAATGCGGGCCTTTACTGAGGCCACCTCGCCAATCTGCTCCACGCTGTGAACTCGTGTGCCTTCCCTCAGTGCCTGGTACAGTGACCTGTTCCCCCAGTACAGATTGAGGATGTGGCCGGTGGTGGAGTCGGCTGTCTCTTCCACGGCTGCGGACGGGATGCTGCACACAGCAATTTCGAGCTCGCCAGCAGCCTTGATGGCCACGTTGTCGTAGCCACTGCCCACCTGCATGATCACTCTCAGGGCCTTGAAATTTTCCAGGTCCTCCCTGGTGAGGGAGAAGGTGTGGTACATCATGGCGCCCACGACTTCGTTTAGAACTTTCTCGTGGATCTCCTGCATGGACTGAGCCTCACAGAAGGCCAGGTGGCCAGGTCCTTCAGGATGGGCATGTCCACAGTGCAGTCCCGTCCATCCAGCAGAGCCACCACGAGGCGGGGTTCAGGGTGACTTTCATGATCTGGGGGCAAATTCCTCACAAATTCTGTCCAATCGCTGTCTCTTGACTTAGCGCTTATCCACAAGGGCCATTCTTTAGGGAACTTTGCAACTCTCAGATCAAAAGGCAAAGCAGTCCTCTAAGAACTTAGGGGAACTCGCAGGAGTCTGCGTGCATGACGCCACTATGAACCCAATATAAATTTGTTCACAAACTCTATAGTTCACACGATGGGTTGTCCGTCTTTTTAAGGGAATACAGCTTCTTTGGTTCAAAACCATTTAAGGTGATGAAACCCGTTTGCTTGCAACTCCGCCACAATCGCGCAGCCACCAACGAATCTCACCACGACCCCAGGCCGAAGCCGCCTCCATTCCCAGGGATGGCGGACTCTGGGCGCTCTAGACCTGGGGTCGTGGTGAGATTCTCCCTTGGATGCCCCTGTTCTACAGTAAAGGAAAATCTTTGGAATGTAAAAAGAGAGAAAATAATAGGCATCACCCCAATAGGCAAGAATGAACAAATAACAAAGATGAGAGGTGCAAAGGCCAAGGAGGAAACTTTAAAAATGTGATGTGGGAAGTTCGCTTCAATGAAATTGGTTCTGGAAAATCCTAGATTTACTTCTTTTGCTGCCACAGATGGACATTTCCTACCCTATGCTTATTATGCTCCTAAATCTTCTAAGGCTCCTCCTGTCCCTCCACTAACATTCCAGGGCATTCACAGTGACAGCCGAAGTTCTCCTCTTCTTTCTGCTATTCCCTTGAAGGCCTTGTGGTCTGAGTGTTTTTCCATTGTTTTGGGGGATCTGGGGAAATCTGCACATTTTGCGAGACTTCTATATTAAGCTATTTTGTAAAAATCTGTTCCTCATGTCAGAAGTTTGTGAGAGTAAAAGTGCAGGCATTGGGGTTTGGTTCACATATTTCAGAAACACCAAGGACAAATGTTTCTGCTTCATAATTTTCAGTCCTATGATTTCAAATGTGATCCTGCAAAAAAATCGGAAAAACTTTTATCAGAGCCCAAAACATCTCAGCACATATGATATAGTGAAGCTTGTATTTCACTTTATTCTTTTTTTCATCTCTGGTAATGGAGGTCAAAAAGTTTTCTTTTCCTTGGTAGAAATTAACTTAAAAACGTGAACTCTCTATGCCAAGCACCTCACCTGTGGAATAGTTTATTGTATCTACTCACCTCAAAGAATTTTTAAAGACCTTAATGCCATAGAAAAACTTAGAAACCTGCCAAGAATAGAATAAATTCTTAATTGTTACATTATTTCTTATTGAGTTATTTTATTATTTAATCTTACATAAAGCTTAGTGGGACTGTGATCTGCACGTTTTCACTTTTTGATTTTTATGTATCCCAAATTAGCCTATAATTTTAGCTTCAGGGATTTCAGAATAGCATACTTGAATTTATGTGTTATATAAAAAGTGAATTACTTAGTATGCACCTCACATTAATAAAATTTCAGTTTGTGTGTCTAAGTTTACTGCATAGAAAAACTTATCATTAGTGTTTCTATTAACTTTCCTCAACATTATCCGAATGATAGTATAATTTATTTCTCATTGCTTATTATGTAGTAGTGTTTCATTGCATATTTTTCAATATTCATGTTGTTCCCATATTTAAAAATGTAAAGCTTTTCTTTACTTAAAAAAAAAAATAAATTATAGGCCAGTGCGGTGGCTCACGCTTGTAATCCCAGTACTTTAAGAGGCTGAGGTGGGTGGATCAAAATGTCAGGGGTTCAAGACCAGCCTGGCCAACATGGTGAAACCCCGTCTCCACTAAAACCACAAAAAGAATGAGCAGGGCATGGGGGCGGGTGCCTATAATCCCAGCTACTCGGGAGGCTGGGGCAGAGAATTGCTTCAGCCTGGTAGGTGGAGGATGCAGTGAGCCAAGGTCTCGCCACTACACTCCAGCCTGGGTAACAGAGCGAGACTCTGTTCTCTAATATCATTGAAATCTTCATTAAAATTTTCTTCTAAATGTTCTTTATAGAAGATTATAATGCATTTGTTGTGAAATTTTGTTACTCTAACCATATGCTAATAATTCAAAATCTGTTCTTTATGGGTGTCCAGTTATGGTTGAATATTTCAGTTATCTAGAAAGAGTCTTCTTCAGTTGCAAGATTTGTTTATTCAGTATTTCACAGGTTAATGTTTATCCAATTTTGTTTTGTAATATTTTATATTCCTGTATTTTCCTGTTAGGATAGGCTGTCTTACATCATTTAAGTGTGTTTTTAGTTTCTGCTTCTATGTTATAATTTTTTATGACTATATTTAACTGTGTACACTTTAAAAGAGTGTAGAAAAAAAGTCAAATATGAATCAACCATATGTGTATTGCCAACATAATTCTCTGTTCGTTTGACTGTATAAACATTACTCATGCTTTATTTATGACTTCTGTATTTATTTAATTAGTTGGTGGTCAATTATTTTTTTAATCCTCTCTGGGTGAGTAGTTGTGGAAATTGCCCTAATTTCCACATCTATGTATTAATGAATCTATATTACGTTTGCGTGAGGAAAACACCTCTGTGATGCGAGGGTAATTTTTTTTTTTTTTTTTTGACCACAGAAGTTTTTATTGCCCTCCTGCTCCGCAAAGGGACCTTGCTTCTGCTGGCTTAGCACCTCAAGACGTCTGTGATGTTGGTCTCAGACACCACTTTGCCGTCCACTATCCTGTGGGTGTTGGTCTTTTGGATGCTTTACAGGTATTTGCTGCTGTCCAGAATACCACCAAGATTGAAGTCCTCCCCATCTTCTAGCAGGCGGCAGTAGGTGGCAATCTCTGTGAAATGGGACACAGAGATCCAGGAGCCCCAGACCCCACGCCTCATAGAAGCTCGCCGCGCTGCTGACCTGCTGAGCACTTTAGCTGGGCGACTGGACAGATCCCAGGGACAGGTAGTAGTTGATGGAGAAGGTGCGGAGCAAGTGGTGAAGCTCGCTGTGTACGGGGAGGAAAGCGAGAGGACAGGACTCAGGTTTTGCCGAGGTCCTGAAGATAATTATTGAAATGCATTAAAACGGTATCTCACTTAGATATTATTATTGTTTACATTGTTATAAGAAACATATAAAATTGACAATTATTTACAATTTTACAATAATTTACAATGACAATAATTATATAGTTTAGACTTTTCAGCACATTGACATTATTCGACGTATCTCTAGAACATTTTTATCTTACAAAACTAAAACTCAATACACCTGAAACAACTGCCTGTCTTCTCCTTTGTTCAGCCCTTTACAAATGCTATCTTATTCTCTGTTTCTAAGGATGTTACTACTTTAGATATTTTATACATGTGGATACACTCAGTATCTGTCTTGTAGCTGGCTTATTTTATTTAGCATAATGTCATCAAGATTTTATTTTTATTATAGATAAAAGGTTTTCTGCTTTTCAAAAGCTGGGTAATATTCTATTGTTTTTATATTCCAAATTGTACCCATTCATTTGTTTGTTGAGGGAAGTATGGATTGCTTTAACCTATTGATTTTTGTAAGTAAAGCTACAATAAATACGTGAGCGTTTACATCTTTTTTGCACTCGGTTTTATTAGTCTATTTGTCTGTCTTTATGCCAGTAACAAACTACTTAGATTACTGTAGATTTGTAACAGGTTTTGAAAACAGGAATTGTAATGTTTCCAAAATTTTTCTCTTTTTGAAAACTGTAGAGTTCTTTGTGGTCTCCTGAAATTCCATATACTTTTGGGAGTCACATTTTCTGTATCTGTCAAAAATAAAATTAAGAATTTTATAGGGATTGTATTAAATCTGTAGGTCACTTTTGGCATTATAGACATGTTCAAAATAGTAAGTTTTCTAACTCTTGAACAAAAGCATGTTCAAGAGTAAATTGCTTAATTTTTACATATTTGTGAATTGTATGAATTTTCTTCTGTTATCGATTGCTAGTTTTAATCCTTTTTGGTCAGAAATTATAGTATGTAACATTCAATTTTTTTATTATACTTTAAGTTCTAGGGTACATGTGCAGAACGTGCAGGTTTGTTACACAGGTATACATGTGCCATGTTGGTTTGCTGCTCCCATCAACTCATCATTTACATTAGGTATTTCTCCTAACGCTATTCCTTTCATAGTCCGTCACCCCCAAACAGGCCCCAATGTGAGATGTTCCCCGCCCTGTGTCCATGTGTTCTCATTGTTCAACTCCAACCTATAAGTGAGAACATGCGGTGTTTGGTTTGAAGTCCTTGTGATAGTTTGCTGAGAATGATGGTTTCCATCTTCATCCATGTCCCTGTAAAGGACATGAACCCATCCTTTTTATGGCTGCATAGTATTCCATGCTGTATATGCTCCACAATTTCTTAATCCAATCTATCATTGATGGACATTTGCGTTGGTTCCAAGACTTTGCTATTGTGAATAATGCCGCAATAAACATATGTGTGTGTGTGTCTTTATAGTAGCATGATTTATAACTCTTTGGGTATATACCCAGTAATGGGATTGATGAGTCAAAAGGTATTTCTGGTTCTAGATCCCTGAGGAATCACCACACTGTCTTCCACAATGGTTGAACTAATTTACACTCCTACCCACAGTGTAAAAGTGTTTCTATTTTTCCACATCCTCTCCAGCATCTGTTGTTTCCTGAAATTTTAAAGATCGCCATTCTAACTGGCGTGAGATGATATCTCATTGTGGATTTGATTCGCATTTCTCTGATGACCAATGATGAGCAATTTTTCATATGTCTGTTGGCTGCATAAATGTCTTCCTTTGAAAAGTGTCTGTTATATCCTTTCCCCACTTTTTGATAGGGTTGTTTTTTTTTCTTGTAAATTTGTTTTAGCTATTTGTAGATTCCTGATATTAGCCCTTTGTCAGATGGGTAGATTGCAAAAATTCTCTCCCATTCTGTAGGTTGCCTGTTCAATCTGATAATAGTTTTGTTTGCACCCTGGTTTCGAACCAGGTACGCTACGGTCCCGGGGTCGTGAGCGAGGGCTGATGGGAAGGCACTTTCGTGCATGGGGGACACAGGCCCCGCTTCTCGGCTGTGAGGTTTTTTTTTCTTTTTTTTTCTTTTTTTTCCCTGCCACATGTGACTCACCTCCCCTCCCTCAAACCTAACCTTCCCCTCAGGGGCCTTCTGCCCGCTTTGGGGTACCCATAGCGGGACCGAGACGCTCCCTGGGTTCGAACCAGGGTCCGGGGCCATGTGCAGGGGCTGATGGGAAGGCACTTTCGTCCGTGGAAGACCTAGGAACGCTTCTCGGCGGCGCGGTTGATTTTTTTTTTTTTTTCCTGACAGAGGTGCTTCACCTCCCCTCCCTCAAATCTTACCTTCACCTCAGGGGCCTTCTGCCCGCTTTGGGGTACCCCTAGCGGGCCCGAGAAGCTCCATGGGTTCGAATCAGGGGCGCCAGGTTCCCTGGGACCCAGAGCAGGGGTTGAAGGGAAGGCAGTTTCGTGCATGGGGGACCCAGGCCCCGCTTCTCGGCGGCGCGATTTTTTTTTTTCCTGCCACAGGTGCCTCACATCCCCTCCCTCAAACCTAACCTTCCCCTCAGGGGTCTTCTGCCCACTTTGCGATACCCCTAGCTGGCCCGAGGCCCTCCCTGGGTTGGAATCAGGAACGCCAGGGTCCCCGGGTCCCAGCGCAGGGATTGAAGGGAAGGAACTTTCGTGCGTGCAGGACCCAGGAACGCTTCCTGGTGGCGAGTTCTGTTTTGTTTTTTTTCCTGCCACAGGTGCTGCACTTTCCCTCCCTCGAACCCCACCTTCCCCTCAGGGGCCTTCTGCCCGCACTGGGGAAACCCTAGCGGGCCGAGATTCTCCCTGGGTTCGAAACAGGGACGCCAGGGTCCCGGGGCCCTGCGCTGGGGCTGATGGGAAGGCACTTTCTTCCGAGAAGGACCCAGGAACGCTACTCGGAGGCGCGCTGTTTTTTCCTTTTTTTTCTGCTACAGCTGCGTCACCACCCCTCCCTCACACCTTAACTTCCCCTCAGGGGCCCTCTGCCCGCTTTGTGGTACCCCTAGCGGGCCCGAGAGGGCCCTGAGTTGGAACCGGCGATCCATGGTAACCGGAGCCCAACCCAGGGACTGATGGGAAGGCACTTTTATCCGTGGGGGACCCAGGCCCCGGTTCTCCGGGGCGCTTTTTTTTTTTCCTGCCACGGGTGCCTCACCTCCCCTCCCTCAAAGCTTACCTTCCCCTCAGTGGCTTTTGTCCGCTTTGGTGTACCCCTAGCCGGCCCGAGACGCTGCATGTGTTCTAAGCAGGGACGCCAGGTTCCCCGCGGTCCAGCACAGGGGCTGATGGGAAGGAACTTTCGTCCGTGGGGGACCCAGGAACGCTTCTCGGTGGCGCGTTTTTTTTTTTTTTTTTGTGCCACAGGTGACTCACCTCCTCTCCGTCACACCTTACCTTCCCCGCAGGGGCCTTCTGCCCACTTTGAGGTATCCCTAGTGGGCCCGAGATGCTCCTTGTGTTCAACCAGTGACGCCAGGGTCCCCGGGACCCAGAGCAGAGGCTGATGGGAAGGCACATTCGTCCCTGGGGGACCCAGTCTCGGCTTCTCGACGGCTCGGTTTGTTTTTTTTTTCCTGCCACAGGTGCCTCCCCTCCCTCAAACCTAACCTTCCCCTCAAGGGCCTTCTGCTAGCTTTGGAGTACCCCTAGCGGGCCCGAGACGCACCCTGGGTTCGAACCAGGGACGGCAGGTTCCCGGGGCCATGCGCGGGGGCTGATGGGAAGGCACTTTCTTATGTGGTGGACACAGGCCCTCTTCTTGGCGGCGCTGTGTTTTTTGTTTTTTGTTTTTTTTCCTGCCACAATTGCCTCCCCTCCCCTCCCTCAAACCTAATCTTCCCCCTCAGGGGCCTTCTGCCCGCTTTGGGGTACCCCTATCGGGCCCGAGACGCACCCTGGGTTCAAACCAGAGATGTCAGGGTCCCGGGGCCATGCGCTGGGGCTGATGGGAAGGCACTTTCGTCCTTGGGGGACCCAGTCTCCGCTTCTTGGCGGCGCGGTTTTTTTTTTTTTCCTGCCACAGGTGCCTCATCTCCCCTCCCTCAAACCTTAACTTCCCCTCAAGGACCTTCTTCCCGCTTTGGGGTACCCCTAGCTGGCCCGAGACGCACCCTTGGTTCGAACCGGGGACGCCAGGGTCACCGGGCCCAGAGCAGGGACTGATGGGAAGGCACTTTCTTCCGTGGGGGACCCAGGAATGCGTCTCGACGCTGAGTTTTTTTCTTTTTTTTTTTTCATCCACAGGTGCCTCACCTCCCTTTCCTCAAACCTAACCTTCCCCTCAGGGGCCTTCTGCCCGCTTTGGGGTACCCCTAGCGGGCCTGAGTCGCTCCCTGGGTTCGAACCAGGGACGCCAGAGTATCCAAGGCCCAGTGCAGGGACTGATGGGAAGGCACTTTCGTCCGTGGGGGAACCAGGAACGCTTCTTGGCGGCGAATTTTTTTTTTTTGTTTTGCGTTTTTTTTTTTCTGCCACAGGTGCCTCACCTGCACTCCCTCAAACCTTACCTTCCCCTGAGGAGCCTTCTGCCCGCTTTGGGTATGCCTAGCGGGCCCTTTACAAGAAGCTCTTTAGTTTAAGTAGGTCCCGTTTGTCAATTTTGGCTTTGTTGCCATTGCTTTTGGTGTTTTAGTCATGAAGTCTTTGTCCATGCCTATGGTATTGCCTAGGTTTTCTTGTAAGTTTTTATGGTTTTAGGTCTTACATTTAAGTCTTTAATCCATTTTCACTTAATTTTTGTATACAGTGTAAGGAAGGGATCCAGTTTCAGTTTTCTGCATATGGCCAGCCAGTTTTCCCAGCACCATTTATTAAATAAGGAATCCTTTCCCCATTGCTTGTTTTTGTCAGTTTTTTTCAAAGATCGGATGGTTGTAGATGTTTGGTGTTATTTCTGAGGCCTCTGTTCTGTTCCATTGGTCTATGTATCTGTTTTGGTACCAGTACCATGCTGCTTTCCTTGCTGTAGCCTTGTATTATAGATTGAAGTCAGGTAGCGCGATTCCTCCAACTTTGTTCTTTTTGCTTAGGATTGTCTTGACTATGCGGGCTCTTTTTTGGTTCCATATGAACTTCAAGGTAGTTTTTTCCAATTCTGTGAAGAAAGTCAATGGTAGCTTGGTGGGGATGACATTGAATCCATAAATTACCTTGGGCAGCATGGCCATTTTCACAATATTGATTCTTCCTTTCCATGAGCACGGAATGTTCTTCCATTTGTTTGTGTCCTCTTTTATTTCGTTGAGCAGTGGTTTGTAGTTCTCCTTAAAGAGGTCCTTCACATCCCTTGTAAGTTGGATTCCTAGGTATTTTATTCTCTTTGAAGCAATTGTGAATGGGAGTTCACTCAGGATTTGACTCTCTGTATGGTATTGTAGGAATGTTTGTGATTTTTGCACATTGATTTTGTATCCTGAGACTTTGCTGAAGTTGCTTATCAGCTTAGGAGATTTTTGGCTGAGACGACGGAGTTTTCTAAATATACAATCATGTCATCTGCAAACAGGGACAATTTGACTTCCTCTTTTCCTAGTTGAATATGCTTTATTTCTTTCTCTTGCCTGATTGCCCTGGCCATAACTTCCAACACTATGTGGAATAGGAGTGATGAGAGAGGACATTCTTGTCTTGTGCCGGTTTTCAAAGGGAGTGCTTCCAGTTTTTGCCCATTCTGCATGATATTGGTTGTGAGTTTGTCATAAATAGTTCCTATTATTTTGAGGTACATTCTGTCAATATCTAGTTTATTGAGCATTTTTTAGCATGAAAGGCTGTTGAATTTTTTCGAAGGCCTTTTCTGCATCTATTGAGATAATCATGTGGTTTTCGTCATTTGTTCTGTTTATGTGATGGATTATGTTTACTGATATGCATATGTTGAACCTGCATCCCAGGGATTAAGCACACTTGATCTTGGTGGTTAAGCTTTTTGAAGTGCTGCCTGATTCGGTTTGCCAGTATTTTATTGAGAATGTTTGCATCGATGTTCATGAGGAATATTGGCTTAAAATTTTCTCTTTTTGTTGTGTCTTTGCCAGACTTTGGTATCAGGATGATGCTGGTCTCATAAAATGAGTTAGAGAGGATTCCCTCTTTTTCCATTGATTGGAATAGTTTCAGAAGGGTTGGTACCAGCTCCCCTTTGTACCTCTGGTAGAATGTAGCTGTGAATCCGTCTGGTCCTCGACTTGTTTTGGTTGGTAGGCTATTAATTATTGCCTCAATTTCAGAACCTGTTATTGGTCTATTCAGAGATTCAACTTCTTCCTTGTTTAGTCTTGTGGGGGATGTATATGTCCAGGAATTTACCCATTTCTCCTAGATTTTCTAGTTTATTTGCGTAGAGGTGTTTATAACATTCTCTGATGGTAGTTTGTATTTCTATGGGATCAGGGGTGATAGCCCCTTTATCATTTTTTATTGCTTCTCTTTGATTCTTCTCTCTTTTCTTTATTAGTCTTGCTAGCAGTCTATTTTGTTGATCTTTTCAAAAAAATAACTCCTATATTCATTGATTTTTTGAATTTTTTGTAACATTCAATTTTTCAAAAATTCTGTTCAGAATTGTTTTTTGGCTTCATAGTTATTTTTAGGAGAATGTTTCATGAGCTTTTGAGAAGATTGTGAGTTTTGTTTTTGTGTAGAGTGTTCTGTATGCATCTGTTATATCTAATTGCTTTACAGTATTTTCATGTCGTCTGTTTACTTTTTAATATTCTATCTGGCTTTTTTATTAATTACAGAACTGGTGTATTAAAATATTATACTTTTAATATATTGCCGTTTTTGCTTATGTTCTGTCAAGATATTATTGATATATTTAAAAATACTCATGTAAGGTGCATACATATTTGTGTGAATACATAATTAGATATATACACACAATTATGTAAATGTGTATAATTGTCATAGGTTTCCAGTGAATAAACCCTTTTATTATTTTGTCCTTTGTTTTTCTGACAATTTGATTTCATAATATATTTTATAAACTAAGACAGTTATTTAAAAAGCATTTTGCATACTATAATTGTGACATAGTCTGTCCTCATTTGGTTATGATTTGCATAATTTTTTGGATGCATCTTGCCACATTTAGTCTGTTTTTGTTACTATAGAGTAAGATGGCTCATATCTGTCATCCTAGCATTTTAGGAGATTGAGGTGGGAGGATCACGTGAAACCAGGAGTTTGAGACCAGCCTGGGAAACAAAGCAATACCAAGTCTCTAAAATAAATAAATAAATAAATTGAGTCCCTTTAGACAGATGTAGTTAGATTTTCTTTCTTTTTTTTTTTAATTCCTATACTCAATTTATGACTTTTGGTTGAGAAGTTTAGTTTGTGAGTAGTTACATAATTTCCTGCATTTGAAGGAATTACTTTTGACACTTTGTGGAGTAAAATTTAAATATTAAATTTGAACTCAATTGAATCTGGACTCAAACAATGGTCACCAAGTCCTGGAACAGGTTGTGTGAGCCCCTTGAGGCTTTCATCCAGCGCTGTTTCGGATAAATCTCTATTTCAATTTATTCCTATATGTTAGTTACTGAAAAACAACAGACAATCAAAAAAACAAGTTGATCTTTTTCTTTTCCTTGAGCCCAGAAATGAAGGGCCCTCCTGACTGGACGTCATGCCAGATAACTCATTACAAAAAGAGCTAGGGTTCCAGACTGTGCCAAAACTTCATGAGATCTCTTCTCATCTGTTCACGGACAAGTGGCCAACTCTGGAGCCCAGTCTGTTGCTTCGCAGTCTGGTGGTGAATCCTCCATAGTCTGATGAGTGTAAATATATATATCTCTTTTCCCTTCTCTCCGTCCCATTGCAACTTGCTTATTATATCATTTGCTTATTATATCTGCATTGCCATTTACGTGGGATACAGTTTGTTTACCCTTAAAGGTATTGTGTGTGTGTGTGTGTGTGTGTGTGTGTGTGTGTGTGTGTGTGTGTTTCCTTCTCTCCTTGAGCATTTCCTGCGCAGAACATTTTTGGCTTCACGAACAGGATCCGAAAGCAAAAGCATGCCATTTTTTGGTGCAGGGACCAGACTGGGAGCTCGGGGACTTTCCATATCTTCAGATGGGAACTCCCCTAGTTCTTCCCCTTGGCCATTCAGTGGTCCAAGGGAGCTGGCGTTTGTGAAAATAGGCAATCTAAGTTAGTGCATTTTGAATCATTGGCTGTGTGTGAGGAGGTGCAGGGAATCCCAGTTGGTAAATGGGATGCTGAGAGAATTTCCCGGCATGGATGGTGCTTGCTTACTGCTTATAAGTTAATGTGTCAAGATAGGAATCAGCTGCTACAACAGAAATGTAAGCCAGAAAAGAAAATGCTAATCTGACTTCCAGGCTGGCCCTGGCCCATGGCCAGGCCTATGTCTTGACTGATCAGCCTCAAAGTTATCAGCCTATTGCTGAAAAAAAGCAGCTGCCTGAGTGGCCCAGTCAGCGTAAAACTGAAGAACTAGTCAGCTGGGGCTTGGATCCGGTAAAAACCCAAATCCTATCTCAAGGATGGGAAGTTAACCCTAGTAAAATTCAAGGACCTCCACAAACTGTAAAGTTCCTTGGCATCCTATGGAATGCAGGGAAACAGTCCATTTTACCAAAGGCTAAGGCTAAAATACTAGAATTTGCAGCCCTACCACTGAAAAGGAGGTCCAAAATTGTATTGGTTTGTTTGGATTCTGGAGACATCATATTCCCCATTTGGGTAACATTTTACAACCTCTGCATGCGGTCACTAGAAAACGCTATGACTTTCACTGAAGACAGAAAGTGAGCGTGGCTTTTCAACCAGCCAAACAAGCAGAGCAACAGTATGGCCCTTACAGGATGGGCCAGTAGAACTGCAAGTAACTGTCCTAGATCAACACGCTCATTGGAGCCTTAGGTAGAAACAAGATGGGAAGAGATACCTTTGGGGTTTTAGACCCAGAAGCTGTCAGAGGCTAGCAAAGCTTATACTCTTTGAGAAGCAGCTGTTGACCTGCTACTGGGCTTTACAGGAAACAGAACACCTTTGTCTTAATCATGATGTTTTTATGAGGCCCCAAATTCCTAATATGACTTGGGTCATGAACTCCCTCAAACCTCATTGGATAGGGTACACTCAAGAAAGTAAATGGAAATGGCACATACAAGACCAGGCTAAGCCGGAACCAAAACAGGTATCATTTTTAAATGAGGATGTGCAAAACTTGCCAGCTCAGCAAACCACTGAGCAAGTCCTGCAGATAAGGAAGGAAACCTCCCCTGCCCAATGGGGCAAATCCTTTAAAGAACCAAGCCCAGACGATCAGAGACATGCTTGGTTTGCTGATGATTCCACCAAATATATTGATGGGACCCGATGCTGGGAGGCCGTGGCTTATAATCCTGTTAAAAACATAAGCATTTCTGAGGAAGGGAGGGGTGTTAGCAGCCAGCTGGCTGAACTAGAATCTGTTCTCTGAACTATTCAGGAGGAGGCCAGAGGGATTTGTTACTTGTATACCTACTCTTGCTTAGCAGAAAATGGTCTTACTACCTAGTTGCCCGAATGGCAATGAAACAAATGGTGAATTACGAATAAAGAGGTTTGGAGAAAACAATACTAGGAAGATATCTGAATCCTGGTGCACACTACCATTATTGCTGTTTTCCAGATTGATGCTCGTACATCTCTGCTTTCTCTTGACAGACTATTCCATCAGCAGGTAGATCAACAGGTGTGAGATTCGGAACCTTAACATTGGGCTGTGTTCATGTGAAAAGATGACAATTTTTGCTCTTGGCTCAGTGTACATATGAGTATCACAATCTCACCTTTGTTCTGGGCCCTAGCAGGACACTCTCTTCACCATATGAAGCCTTTATAGAGTATGCATGAGTGTAACAATTCTCTCTGAAACCTTAAGCAGGCACGGACCCCTCCTTGTACCTTTAGCTTTAAGCCCTGGTATGACAGTCAACATCTTTCTACTTGGATGGGTCCAAATAAGAGTTCTTAACTGCCTATGAGCTGCGTTTAAAAATGAGTCACCATCCCACCTGTGGCTGGATGTTCACATATGAAAGTCAGAATCCCAGTTGTGGACTATGTCTGCATGTGTAATTCAGGACCTCAAGAGTGGGCTCTCTCCACATGTGATAGAGACCATCCTGAATATTGGTGTGGTGTGAATCTGAGAAGTATAATCTCACCAGTGTGCTGAGCCCTTTGGTGACAATTTCTCTACCATAGTTTACACAATATGCAAGACAGTGGTACTCCTCCGTGTGACGTATCACTGGGTCTTGCACACAGGTAATGTGAGTCTCCTCTCCTGCCTTGGAATGCTCACAGGAGGCATTGGAACATACCACTGAACCTGATATTCAGGTTATGTGCCTGTCTTTCCTGTGCTCTGTCCATGGGCGTTTGTGACATATTTTTGGGTCCAAAACACAGGCAACATAGCTCTCCTGTCTGGATCCTGCCTAGAGAGGGCATGGTGGCGTATCCCTGCACCAGCCACCAGATGATGTAACTCTATCTTCTGTCTAGTCCCTGCTTACAGGGTGAATTTTGACTTATCGCTAGGCGCAGCATTTAGCTAATATGACTCTTCCCTTTTTTCAGGTTCTGCCCACGGGGAAGATTGTGACATATCGATGGGTAAAACACCAAAATGATTTTACTCTTTTGTCTTTGTTCTGTCCTTAGAAGGCATTGGGACATATTGCTGAACCAGCACCAAGGTAATGTAAGGGTCCTACCTGAACCCTGCCCACAGGGAGCATAGTGACATATCTCTGAGCCCATGAACTATTTGATGTGGCTCTATTCTCTTACCTGGACTTTGCCCATGAGAAAGACTGTGACGTATTTCTTGGTCCAGTGCTTAGGTAATGTGATTCTCCTCTCCAGCCTGAGGCATGCCCACAGAAGTAAGAGTGACATCTCTGGGCCTAGCCCACAGGTGATGTGACTCATCCCTTCTTTCTGCCCAGGGGAGTCATTGTGATGTATCTCTGAGACCATTATAAGAATGATGTGACTCTCCTGTTCTTACTGCGACCTGTCCACAGTGGGGATGATGATGTATCACTTAGGCCAGCACATATGTGGTGAGATTCTTCTCATGCCTGTGCCCTGCCCCCTGGGCTAATTGTGACATATAACTGGGCCCCTCCCATAGGTTATGCAACATATCCCTGTGATAACACTCTTTGTACCATTTAAGGGCTTTATATAATATAAGAGAGAGTGGTATTCCTCTAAGACCCTCATACAAAGAGAAGATTTAGGACCTACCGATTTTCCAAAGCCTCACTAGGAAAAACAGCATTTCTCTTAGTGGCAGGTTTGAGGTATGAGAGTCATTATTACACCTGTGAGCTGGCCAAGATATATGTTTCAATCTCTCCTGTGGGTAGGGAGTGAGCAGGAGAGTCGCATCACCTGGATGCTTGGCCAGAGATCTGTCAATATCTTCCCTGATGGCAGGGACCAGGTAGGAGAGTCACATACCTAAGGCTGGGCCAGGGATATGTAACAATCTTTTATGAGGTCGGAGGCTAGGAAGGGAGTCCCATCACTTGTGTGCTCACCCGGGATATGTTACAATCCCCTCCTGAAATCAGAGTACAAGCAGCAGAGTAAAATCACCTGAATATTGAGCTCAGTGATATGTCACCACACTCCCTGTGGGTAAAGCCATGGCAGGAGAGACACATCACCTGATTACTGATTACTAGGCCCAGTGATATGTCAGAATCTTTCCTGTGGGCAAGGTGCAGGCAGAAAGGAGAGTCACATCATCTGGTGATGGAGGCAGAAATATGCTACAAGGCAGAAATATGCTCTGCCTCCCTGTGGGCAGAGTTCAGGCAGGAGCCCCCAATCTCCTAGGTGTTAAGTTCAGTGATATGTTACAATGCTCCCTGTGGGCAGCACAAGTCGAGAGAATAGAGCCACATCACCTAAGTTCTAGGTCCAATGATATGTCCCAATTTTATTTGTGAGATGGGCTTAAACAGGAGAGTCTACTCACTCAGGTGCTGGACAAATGTGTATGTTTGTCACAATGACACCTGCAGGAAGTTCTAGACATGGGATGAATCCCGCACATATTCTGGTTTTAGGCATGAGAGTGAACACCTTCTGTATGTTCGATCTAAGTACACAAGTCACTATCTCAATAGTGGACTAAATTTGTGCATGGCAGCCCCATTTTCTCTTGCAGACTTTCTCCCCTAATTGAAATCACGGCTTCACAGGTGTGCCGACTCATGATATGAGAGTCATCAACATATCTGTGACTCTCACATATGAGAGTCAGTTTTTCAACTTTTTTTATTGTACTTTAAGTTTTAGGGTACATGTGCATAACGTGCAGGTTTGTTACATATGTATACATGTGCCATGTTGCTGTGCTGCTCCTATTATCTCCTCATTTACATTAGGTATATCTCCTAATGTTATCCCTTCCCCCTCCCCCATCCCACAACAGGCCCCGGTGTGTGATGTTCTCCTTCCCGTGTCCAAGTGTTCTCATTGTTCAGTTCCCACCTAGGAGTGAGAACATGCCATGTTTGGTTTTTTGTTCTTGCGATAGTTTGCTGAGAATGATGATTTCCAGCTTCATCCATGTCCTTACAAAGGACATGAACTCATTTTTTATGGTTGCATAGTATTTCATGGTGTATATGTGCCACATTTTCTTAATCCAATCTATGATTATTGGACATTTGGGTTGGTTCCAAGTCTTTGCTATTGTGAATAATGCCACAATGAACACACGTGTGCATGTGTCTTTATAGCAGCACAGCATGGTACTGGTACCAAATCAGAGTACGTGGTACTGGTACCAAATGGAGCAGAACAGAGCCCTCAGAAATAGTGCCACACATCTGCAACTATCTGATCTTTGACAAACCTGACAAAAACAAGAAATGGGGAAAGGATTCCCTATTTAATAAATGGTGCTGGGAAAACTGGCTAGCCATATGTAGAAAGCTGAAAATGGATCCCTTCCTTACACGTTACACAAAAATTAATTCAAGATGGATTAAAGACTTAAATGTTAGACCTAAAACCATAAAAACCCTAGAATAAAACCTAGGCAATACCATTCAGGACATAGGCATGGGCAAGGACTTCATGTCTAAAACACCAAAAGCAATGGCGACAAAAGCCACAATTGACAAATGGTATCTAATTAAACTAAAGAGCTTCTGCACAGAAAAAGAAACTACCATCAGAGTGAACAGGCAACCTACAGAATGGTAGAAAATTTTTTCAATCTACTCATCTGACAAAGGGCTAATACCCAGAATCTACAAAGAACTCAAACAAGTTTATAAGAAAAAAGCAAACAAACCCATCAACAAGTGGGCGAGGATATGAACAGACAGTTCTCAAAAGAAGATATGTATACAGCCAAAAGACACATAAAAAAGGCTCAGTTTTTCAACTTTTGAAACTGCCTTTGGGTATGGGATTCAGAGCCTCAAAAGTGAACTATGATCATGTGAAAGAATGACAATCTTTAATGTTGGCTGGGTGTGCCTCCCAATGTCATAATATTACTGTGTGCTGAGCCCTATTAGGAGTTTCTGTGTTGCACCTGAGGGCTTTATATGGTATGCATGACAGTCTCAATTCTTTCAGAGATTTTCATGCTGGTATGGACCCAGGATCAAACCTGTGGCCCTAAGCCTATATATGAGTCAACATCTTTACAATTGGCGGGGTCCAGATAAGAGAATCATCACCTTTCTATGCGGTGGGTTTATAACGAAGTTCCCATTCCAACTGTGGCCAGATCTTTACATATGAGATTCGCAATTCCAACTATAAACTGCATTCATGTGTGAAATTCAGGACCCCACAAGTGGGTTCTGTTTATATGTGAGGGTGAAAATCATAATGGCCAGGAGGGTGCAGGGTGCGCATAGGAGTAACAAATTTCACCTGTGTGCTGGGCCCTGTGATAAGACTCTCTACCACCCGAGGGCTTTCTGTAATATGTGAGAGAGTGGATGATCTTAACGAGGAGACCCAGGGATTTTTTTTTTTCATTTCCCTAAGTGTCGGTAGGAGAAGCAGGATCTCTCCTATTGGCTGGTGTGACATATGAAAGTCATCATTGCACCTGTGTGTTGTGTTCCAAGATATAAGTCACAATTACACCTTTATATAGGAAGAGAGCAGGAGAGTAAAATCAGTTGGACGCTGGGCCAGGGATATGTCGCTTCCCTGAGAACAGGGACCAGGGAACAGAGACACATTACCTGAATGCTCAGGCATGGGTATGTAGCAATCCACTCCTTAAATTAGGAACCAGGCAGCAGAGTCACATCACCTGGGTGCTGGATCTAGCAATATGTTACAATCCTCTCTGTGGTCAGGATGCAGGTAGGAGAGTCACATCTCCTTGGTGATGAATGCAGAAAAACGTCACAAGTTTCTCTGTGCATAAGGTAGAGGAATAAGCCTTTTATCCCCTAAGTGTTGGGCCCAGGGATATGTCACAATACCCAAAATATGCAAACCCAGGCAAAAGAGAACAGTCACATCACCTTGGTGGTAGGGTCACTGATATGTCACAATCCCCTCTTTTGGAAGGGCCCAGATAAGAGTGGAGAGTCACATAGCCTAGGCAACGAATAGAAAGGTATGTCATAATACCCCTGTTGGCAAGACCTATGCAGAAGAGTCACATCACCTATGTGTTCAACCCAGATATATGTTACTCTACACCATGTATGCAGGGCCCAGGCAAGAGAAAAGGCCACATCACCTCGGTTCTGGGCCCAGCAATATATCACAATACCCCCTAAGAGGAGGTAACAGACAGGAGAGTCACATCACCTAGGTCTGAGGAGCAGAGCTATATGGTAATGCCCTGTGTGTGTGCACCCCAAAATAGAGGAGAGTTACATCACCTGAAGACTGTACCCAGCTATGTCACAATGACCCCTGTGGGCAGCACCCAGGCATGAGAAGAGAGCACCATCATGTAGGTGCTGTGCCAGGCTGTATTTCACAATCTCCACTATGGATAGGTTTCAGGGAGAAGAGGACCGTCACATCATCTAGTTGATGAGTCTGGAGATATGTCAAAATGAACCCTCTGAAGAGACCAGGATGCAGAATCACATGATCTGTGTGCTGGGTCTAGGAATAACCCCTTCTCCCTTCTGTAAACATGGCCACGCAGAAGATGAGGGTCACATATTTAAGGTGATGAACGCGGAAATATTTCACAAGTCTCCCTGTAGGCAAGACCCAGACAGGAGATTCCCTTCCCTCAGTTGTTGGGACCAGAAATACATCACAATGTGGGGCTCAAGCAGAAAAACTAAAGAAACATCACCTATTTTCTGAGCTCAGAATTAGTCACAATCTCTCCTATAGGCAAAGCCTTTGTTAAAAAAGAAGAGTTTTATCAAATAGTTGATGGGCTCAGAGATATGTCCCAATGCCATATGTTACAAATTGCTGTAGGCAGGCTTCAGGCAGGAGATGGGCCTAATAATGTGTCACAGTGCTTTCTGCTTGCAGGGCAAAGTCAACAGAGTAATGTCACCTCGAAGTTGGACCCACCAATGTATCACAATCTCCTTCCAAACAAATCCTATAAAACAAAAGAAGAGTAACATGAGGTAGGTGCTGGGCACAGTGATATGTCACAATCCTTTCTTTAAGCAGGGACTAGGCAGGAGAAGAAAATCACACCACATGGGTGATGGGCACATAGATATTTCACAATGTCCCCTTAGGCAAAGCTCAGGAAGGAGAGGTAGATCATCTAGGTTTTGGATGCAACACTATGTCACAATGGCCATTGTGGCCTGGGCACCGGCAGAAGAGTCACATAACATGGATGTGAGACCCAGCAATACATCACAACGCCCCGGTGAGTAGCACTAATGCAAGACAGAAAACATACATTACCTAGGTGCAAGGCCAAGTGATATGTCCCAATGTCCCCTGTGGGCATCACCAAGGCAGGAGGTAAGAGTCACATAACCTAGGTGCTGGCTTCAGTGATATATCAGAATCCCATCTGTGAGCTGGGCACAGGAAACAGAGCTAAAATACTCGGGAGCTGGGCAGAGATGTATGTCACAATCCCACCTGCAGAAAGCGACAGGGATGAGATGAACAACTCCACACATGTCCGGATTCCAGGTATGAGAATTTGCATGTTGGGCCTAAGTACACCAGTCTCAATCTCAACAGTGAACTGGATTCATAAATGTGTCTTCTCTGGCTGACCGTGTCCCCTTAGGAGAGTTACAGTCTCACAGATGTAATGAATTTTGGTTTGAGAGTCACCCACCTACCTGTGGACAAGATCCATATATGAGAGTCAATTTTCTTTTTTTTCTTTCTCTTTCTTTCTTTCTTTCTTTCTTTCTTTCTTTCTTTCTTTCTTTCTTTCTTTCTTTCTCCCTTTCTTTTCCTTCCTTCCTTCTTTCTTTCTCTTTTTCTTTCTTTCTCTTTTTCTTTCTTTCTTTCTTTCTTTCTTTCTTTCTTTCTTTCTTTCTTTCTTTCTTTCTTCTTTGCTTTCTTTTTTATTTTTTCTCCCTTGAGATGGAATCTCACTCTATTGCCACGCTGGAGTGCAGTGGGACGATCTCGGTTCTCTGCAACCTCTGCCTCCTGGGTTCAAGCGACTCTCCTGCCTCAGCTTCCTGAGTAGCTGGGATTGCAGGTACATGCCACCATGCCCAGCTAATTTTTGTATTTTTAGTAGAGATGGGGTTGCCAGGCACAGTGTTCCATGCCCGTAATCCCAGAACTTTGAGAGGTCGAAGTGGGTGGATCACTTGAAGTCAGGAGTTTGACACCAGTCTAATCAATATGGTGAAACCCCGTCTCTACCAAAAATATAAAAATTAACTGGGCATGGTGACATGAGCCTGTAGTCCCAGCTACTCGGGAAGCTGAGACAAGAGAATTGTTTGAACCTGGGAGGCGGAGGTTACAGTAAGACTAGATGGTGCCACTGCACTCCAGTCTGGGTGACAGAGCAAGATTCTGTCTCAAAATAATAATAATAAATAAATAGTAGAGAGGCGGGGTTTCACCACGTTGGCCAGGATGGTCTTGATCTCCTGACCTCGTGATCCACCCGCCTCGGCCTCCCAAAGTGCTGCGATTACAGGCCTGATCCACCGCACCCGGCCGGTTGTGCTCATTTTTGAGGATAACTTTTATTGTCACCAGAGTGTGCATGAGTGTTAGAATCTCACCTGTTTGCTGGGCCCTGTTAGGACACTATGTACCTCCTATGGGCTTTGTAGAGTATGCATTAAACATAATACACTCTGAGGTCTTCATGCTGATATGAACCTATGATCATACCTGTGGCCATAAGCCCAGGTATGAGAGTCAACATCTCTCCAGCTGGCTGGATCCAGATAAGAGGATCTTTACTTGGCTGTAAACTGGGTTCAGAAATAAGTCACTATCCCAACTGTGACTGGATGTTCACATGTGATAGTTACAATTCCAGCTGTGGACGGCACTCAGGTATGAGGTTTAGGCCTCCCTAATCACCTCTGTTCCTGTGTAGGAATGACAATTCTGATGATTGGTGGGTGTGCACACAGAGAACACAATCTCACCTGTGTTCTGGGCCCTGTGATGACACTGTACCATCTGAGTGCTTTACAGGATATGCAAGAGTGCTTACTTTCTCTGACCTTCATAGTAAGAGAAGACCCATAATTTTGCACATTTTGTAAAGCCTGGCTATGAGACAAAGTATCTCTCCTATTGGTTGGTTTAAGGTATGAATGTCATCATCACATCTACATGCTAGGCCAAAATATATGTGACAATCTCACATTTGAGTAGTCAGCAAGCAGGAGGGTCTCATCACCTGGGTCATTGTCAGGGATATGTCACATTCTCCCCTGAGGACAGGGACAAGGCAAGAAAGTCACATCCCTAGGTATTCTGCCAGGGATATGTTCTTGCCCCCTCCTGAAAGCATGACACATGCAGCAGAGTCACCTCACCTGGCTTCTGGGCCCAGCGATATGTCACAATTTTCCCTGTGAGCAAGGCACAGGCAGGAGAAACACATCACCTGTTTGCTGGGCCCAGAAATATGCTACAGTTTTTCTTGTGAGCAAGGCTCAGGCAGAAATGGGGGAATCACATTTTCTAGGTGATAAATGCAGAGCTATGTCACAAGGTCTCCAGTAGTCAGGGCCTTGGCAGAAGATTCCTATTGTCTAGGCGATTGGCCCAGTGATACAACACAATAGCTAAATTATGCAGGGCCCAAGGCAAAGAGGAGAGTTGCATCACCTAAGTGATGAACAAAAAGATACGTCATAATACTCAGGTGGAAATGGGCCATGCAGGTGAGTCACATTACCTAGGTGTTGGACCCAGTGATATGTCACAATACACAATATATGCAGGGCCCAGCCAAGAGGGGAGAGTCAAATCACCCAGGTGCTGGGCCCGATGATACATTGTAATCTGTCTTTGGTCAGAGCCCTAGCAGTAGAAGAAACTCACATCACCTCCATGCTGAGGTCAGCCATATGTCACAATACCCCTGAGAAATGAGCCCAGGAAAAGAGTCACATCATTTAAGTGAGAGGCCCATAGATATTTTGCAATTCCTCCTGTGGGTAGTCCTCAGTAAAAAGACAGTCACATTACTTAGAGTCTGTCCCCAGCGATGTGTAAGAATCCCAGCTGTGAACAGGCACCAGACAGGACAAGAGAGTCCCATCACCTGGGTGAACAGTGCACAGATATGTCACAATGACCCCATGTAGGCAAAGTCTAGACAAGAGTTACATCACCTGGGTGTTGGACCCAGCAATATGTCACAATGGCTCATGTGGGCAAAGCACAGGACAGAGTCATATAACAAAGTGCCAGGACCAGTGTTAGGTCAGGATACCCATTATGGGCAGTGCCAAGACAGGAGATTAGAAGCATATTAATTAGATGCTGGATTCAAGGATATATCACAATCTCATCTGTGGGCTACACCCAGGCAAAAAAGTCAAATCACTCAGGAGCTGGCTAGAGGTGTACGTCAGAATCACACCTGCAGGAAGGTCCATGGATGAGATTAACAATCCCTCATAAGTGCCAGTTCTGGATATGAGAGTGAACGCCTCCTGTATGTTGCATCTATGTGCATAAGTCACAATCTCAATGGAGGAATGGGTTTTTTCCATGAGAGCCTTAATCCCTTTTGAAAACTGAGTTATCTTAGTGGACTCACAGCCTCACAAGTGTTTTGGATCTTGGTCAGGGAGTCACAAACCCACTTAAGGACAATATCCACTTATTAGAGCCAATTTTCCAACTTTTGACTGCCTCTGGGTGTGAGTTTCAGAACCTCAATTATGGTCCATGTTCATGTGGGAGAATGACAATTTTGACAGATGGCTGGGCTCAGGCAGGAGCATTTCATCCTGCAGGTGTTGAGACAAAGGATATGATACAACACCTAAAATATGCTGGGTGCAGGCAAAAGAGGAGACTCATATTAGCTGGTTGCTAGGTCCAGTTATATGTCACCACCTCCCTTTTTGGCAGGGCTAAGGAAAAAGAGGGGAGTCAGAGCTAAAGAAATGTCATAATGTCCCTGTGGGTCGGGCCTATGCATGAGAGTTGCATCACCTAGTCATTGAACCCAGCCGTATATTAGAATACATAATGTATACAAGGCCCAGGCAAGAAAGGAGAGTAATATCACATAGGTACTGGGTCCAGCAATATGTCACCATACCCCCTGAGTGGAGGCTCCAGGCAACAGGGTAACATTACCTAAGTGAAGTGCCCAGAGAGATGTTTCAATGCCCCTGGTGGGTAGGATTTTGAAAAAAGAGAAGTTACAGAACCTAGGGGCTAGGCCTAGGTATGTGTGACATTCATCTCCAAGACGGAGCCCAGACATGAGAGAAATGTCACATGATGTAGGGCATGTAATATGTCACAATCCTTATGTGAGCAGGCCCTAGGAAGAAGTAGAGAGTCACATAGTCTAGATGATGGGCCCAGAGGCATTTGACAATGACTCCTGTATGTAGGGACCAGGCAGAAGAATCACATCACCCCTGTGCTGTTCCCAGTTATAAGTCACACTTCCTTCTGTGGGCATGACCCAGGCAGAGAGAATTCACATCACCCCAGTGCTAGACCCAGGGATATGTCACAATCTCTCTTATGGGCAATGCTCAGGTAAGAGAGGAGAGTTGCATCAAATAGATGATGGACCCAGAGGTATGTCACCATGCCTTCTGTGAACTCGATCCAGGCAGAAGATTCACATCATCAACTTGGTGCTAAGCCCAGCAACGTGTCACAATCCCTTCTGTGTAAAGGGACCAGGCAGGAGAAGAGAATCACATTACCAGGCTGATGAGCACAGAGATATGTCACAATGCCCCTGTAAGGCACGGCCCAGGCAGTTGGGTTACATCGCCTGAGTAGTGGACCCAGCAATATAACACAGTGTCCCATATGGGCAGTGCACAAGCCGGAGAGTCACATAACCTGGATGTGAGGCCAAGCTATATATAACAACGCTTCCTGTGGGCAGCGCCAAGGTAGAAGAGGAGACTCACATCTCCGGGTGCAAGGCCTAGCGATATGTCAAAATGCTCACTGTGGGCAGTGCCAAGGAAGGAGAATAGAGTTACACCCTCAATGTGCTGGATCCATCAATATGTTAATATCCCATCTGTGGGCTGGGTCCATGTGACACCATCAATTCACTCAGGTGCTAGGCACCGGCAAATTTCACCATGAAAGCTGCAGAATGGTCCAGGAATTAGATTAACAATCCCACAACTGTCTCAGTTGTAGGCATGACATTCAACACCTCCTGTATGTTGGGTCTAAGCTCACGAATAACCCTCTCAACACCAGACTGGATTTGTGCATGAGAGTCTCAATTCCTCTGCAGAATGACCTGTGTTCCTGTGAGAGGATGACAATAGTTACTGTTGGCTGGGTGTGCATAAGAGTGTCACAATCTCACCTGTGTGCTCGGCCCAGTTAGCACGCTCTGTGTACTACCCAATGGCCCTATACACTATGCATGAGAGTCGTAATCAACTTTGAGACCTTCCTAATGGTAGGGACCCATGATCGTACTTGTAGCATTAAGCCCGGTATGAGAGTCAACATCATTACAATTAACTAGGTCAGGATAGGAGAGTCCTCCCTTGCCTATGAGCTGAGTTTAGATGTGGGCCACCATTTCAACTCTGGTTGAATGTTTATATATGAACACGGGCCTAACACCGAGGTGATGTGAGTCTTTGGCCTAGACACTTCAAGCAGAAGGCAAAGTGACATATCTCTGGGTATATCAACAATTTGATGTGACCTTCCTTTTTTACCTGAGCTTTCCCCATAAAAGAGATGTGACATATGTCTAGACCAAGCACCTGGGTGATGTGACTCTCCTTTATTGACTGAGCCCTGTGTATTTTGGGTATTCTGACGTATCCCTGGACCTAACTTCTGGAAGATAAGAAGATCCAACATGGGCCCTGCCTAAAAAGTTTCTTGTGACAAATTTCTACATGAATCACCTTGGAGATTTGACTCTCCTGTCTTACCCGAGTTTTGCCCATAAGAGAGATTGTTACTTACCTCTGCAGCAAGCACCTAAATGCTGTGGCTCTTCTTTCTTGCCCGGGTCATGCCCAGAGATGAAAGAGTGGCTTATCGCTGTGTCCAGCACACCGGTTATGTGATTATGCTGCCTGATCTCTGCTCACAGGAGCCATTGTGACATATCCCTGGGCCCAGAAACTATTTAACACGACTATCTTCAATGACCTTAACTTGGTGCCTGGGATAAGTTGTGACATATCTCTGGATCCAGCACCTAGGTGATGCGACTCTCCTTTTCTGCATGGGCTATGCTTACAAGAAGGAGGCTGACTTATTGCTGTGTTGACAACTGATGTGATACCTCTGTTCTTGTCTTCTTAGTTTTTAAGAATTTAAACAAGAGACACAAGGAAAAAAAGTACAGCATAATTTATTGGAAAAGAAAATATTTGAAAGTTAAGTGCAGAATACAGTACACCCTGAGAGAGATACTCCAGGGCGGACTGCTCGTAAGAGTGAGACAGCGTGGATTGTCGCTGGAGAAACCCCCTTACGGGAGTTTTACATTATTATTAATAAGAAAAGGGGAAGAGGAGTTGCTTATAAGCATGTTCTGAGTGATATTCTGGGTGCACATACGCAGTGACTATACATGCTTGTTCATATGTTGCATGTCTCGTTAGCATCTTAGATCTCCACCCAGGAGTGTATTTCTGTTTGTTTGTTTGTTTGTTTGAGACAGAGTCTCCCCATGTTGCCCAGGCTGGAGTGCAGTGGTGTGATCTCTGCTCACTGCAACCTCCACCTCCTGAGTTCAAGCCATGCTCATGCCTCTGCCTCCAGAGTATCTGGGATTACAGGCATGCACCACCATACCCTGCTAATTTTTGTATTTTTAGTTGAGACGGGATTTCACTATGTTGGCCAGTCTAGTCTCAAGCTTCTGGTTTGAAGTGATCCATCTTCCTCAGCCTCCCAAAGTGCTGGGAGTACAGGTATGAGCCACCTTGCCTGGCTAGGGCCTATATTTTTTGCTATTAAAATAAGCGAAAGTTAAGTTTGAGGACAGGTGAAATCAAAATGTACATGCTTTCTAGAACAGAAAGTCCTTAATGAGGATAACTTTGCTTGAATAAGCCCAATTACAATGCGAATGCTACGGCTTATTGTGTCGGCTGTACAGTCACCATGGTTTCTGTATCCTGAGATCATGGTCATTTTCTGTACTATCTATTCTGCCTCAATTTCCCCCTAAGAGATTTTAGGGCAATAATCATATTGGAGGTTGAGGGGTTAGGCCATTATTTCTGGAGCTGTTTCCTGCTGAGCGGGTGTTACTTCTGCCTAGCCTGGGCCTTAAAGTTTCTTCCTGTGTGATCTAACAGGGTGTAAACCATGTCGTTCGTGGAACCAGTGGGAAGATGTTGGCAACCAAAGGTTGAAAGCCTTGCAAAACCATCATGCAAACATGGAGTTGCCGTAAGCAAGAGAGCAAGAAATCAGTTAACATTTTAAACAAAATTGGAACAAAAGTAAAAGTTGAAAATATAATAATGACGGGTACTATTAAAGAGAGCAAGGCAGACAATGGACATAGCTTTCATATTCCCATGGAAGTTCCTAGAGATTCAATTTTGTCTGCCTGGGTGATGATATTATTAATATTTTCTTCGACTAAACCAGACTGATTGATCTCAAAAACAGCATTCTTCTTTTAGATATAAACATGTTCCTCTTTACCCGGCTGGGAGAAGATCCCAGGCTCCTTGGTTTTGTCGGACTACAGTGGCCATGGAGTCCAGATGTTGTTGAAGTCTATTGAGGCCCTCTGCTGCCTGTTGGGGACACACTGAGATTTTCTGAGATAGTTTATACTGGATTCCCAAGGATCCACCTTATGGTGACATTTGTGCTGCAAAGGAATTCTGCATTGAAATGGTGAAAGCAGCAAAAGTTTTAAGTCTTTTCTATTTTTTGCCAATAAGCAAAAGTTTTCTGCAGCTACGTGGTCAGCAGTCATTGGGTCCATTTATGGATGGTGAAGTTGAATGGTGGTCAAAGTTAGAGCCTGGAAGGCTTCAGTAAATGCGCTGAAGTTCTTTGGGAGCCATCAGAGCTGTTGCTTGCATTGGATTAGATCATTTATTGAGAAGAGAACAAGCACTCTGATGGTCCTCTCTCCATTTGGGACTTTCTGTAAGGGGATCAAATTCTCTGGCCCTGCATGGGGTGAAGTTCCACCGCGAGTAACTACAGCTGGGCTGGTCACTATTATACCTGGCAAAGGCTGATAGAGAGGAGCATAAGGAGGAGGTGAAACAAGCTTAGATTCTACAGAAGACTCTGATAGTGTGGGGATGCTGCGGATTCTACAGGAGGTGTAGGCCCCTGAGGGTCCCTATCTGGAGCTGGTGTTGGCCTGTTGGGTCTGGGGTCCCTTCCCATTAATAAGAGATGATCTTCTAATGCTTCTGAGGGGCTTTGTGGCTTACTAGGCTTTAGCCCACAGGTGCTGCATAGAGCTGGGTTTTGTTGTCAGGCCATAAAGGTTTGCACATAGGATATTTCAGACCATTTTCCCTGATTTCTACAGAAAAGATCTAGCTGTAGGAGGGTGTTAAAGTTCACAGTCTCATTCCCCAGCCATGTTTTGTGAGCTAATCTGTATGCAAGCTAAATAGTATTACAAAAGAAGATAAGTTTTTTCTTTTCTTTTTTTTTTTTTTGGTTCATCTAGCCAAAAGCTGTTTCAATTTTTAAATATACATCCCAGGGGTGTTTCAATGACAGTAGAGGAAGCGGCTCCCACGGTGCCGACAGAATCTTGCAACGTCAGAATATGTACTAAAGTCCAGGAGGCCATGGGCATCACAATGGGACAAGTGGAACCACCAAGGTGTCCAGCACAGCCCCGCGAGACCCCATTAACTGAAGCTCTAGGAGGTCATAGGCATGTGCCATACACCATCCTATCTCTCACCAGCGCTGCACATCTCCAGCCCTGCCGAGATGACCCCCACTGCTGGCTGGGGGGCAGATGTCTGGCTGACAAGCCTTTCCCTAATTTACTGGTTTGCAATTTATGATGCCGAATTATAACACCTGCAATGCTCAGATTCAAACCCCACGACCGGGCATCTACATGACTTTGAGTCGTTTGTTCAGCAAAGAAAACCTGTTGAAGAACAATTTCAAGGAGGTGGGAAATGCATAAAGCCTGAAGGGACAGGGTTCTCTTAATATTCCACTCAAAACAAAACAAGACAAAACTGTAAACAGAAAACCCGATCAGAAAATAAAGTACAATAGCCACTAGGTGGCGATCGAGTATTGCCGAAGGGACAGCAAACGATAAGCTGAGTCTGAAGTGTGGCCAGAAAGATGTGAAACTAAGCAGCAAACTAGCCCGAATATGAAATGTTGAGAGCAACCCATGCGGTGAGTGTCATTTATGGATAGTACAGATGCAGCAGCCAAAAGGAGAGCAGACATATATTCTCTCTCTAGAGAATATAGGTGATTTAAACACGTTTCCCCCAGAACTTTAGTGAAACAGCGCTGGAACAACCAGCGATAGTTAACCAGGTAGTCTGGAAGTGCCATAGTATTCACTGCAAGAAAAGGGAAACTGAAATTAATGAAGCAGACAAACCTCTCTCCGGGCCATGGCAAAAGAAATGTTGATGGCTGATGTAATACCTTGGTTCTTATCTTCTTAGCTTAAAAGAATTTAAACAGGAAACATGCAGCAAAAGAAGTACAGCATAGAGTAATTTATTGCACACAAAAAAGAAAAGAATACGTTGAAAATCAAGTGCAGAATAGACGGTACAGTCTGAGAAAGAGATTCCAGGGCAGCCTGCTCATAAGAGTGAGACAGCATTAATTGTTGCTGGAGAAACCCTCTTTCTGGGAGTTTTACATGATTATTCATAAGAAGGTGGAAAGAAGTGTTATAGAAGGCATGCTTTGAGTGGTCTTCTGGGTGCACATGTGCAGTAGCTGTACATATTTTTGCATATGTTTCATGTCTCATTAGCATGCAATGACATTTCACCCAGGAATGTGTTTTTACTTGTTAAAATGAGCAAAGGTTCAGCTTGAAGACAGATAAAATCAAAATGCACATGCTCTCTAGACGTAAAAGTCCCTACTGAAGATAGTGGGTTTCAAACGACCCCAAGTGCTCCACAACTTAAAAGTCGCTCCCACGAACCTGGAACACTATCTGTTCCTGAGGGATCAGGTCCCATTTGTGTCTCTGAGACACTGGCAAGTGAGGCACGACTTGGGATGAGACCGATGATTTTAATTGTAAAATGCCTAAATAGCAGCTTCAGGTTACATTTTGGAGCTTGTCCACTTAAATGGGTTGATGAAAATGGCTCACAAAACTCACGCCTTGGAAAGCGGGTTTTCTCCCTTGCTCTTAGATTTTCTGCAACCCATTAAACTAACTTCCTGATGCCTCGACTTTCACATTCGTGAAAAAGGCGCCATTGAGAGTGACGTTTCCAGGAAGGCTCAGCCCTTGTCAGCCCCTGCAGAGCTCTGAAGCTGTTCACAAGCAGGCCATGTGGAAGATTTCTCTCAAAAGCCATTGAGCACGCGCTCTGGCTAGAGAAAAAAGAGGGCTGCTGCACAATGGACAGTGTCTCAGACATCAGGACAGTTTCCACAGTAGTTTAGGAAAAAAGGCAGTGCCCTGAGCTGCAGAAGGTGCAATGCTCTGGAAGGAACCCTGGGTGCAGCTGAAAGAGGAACCTGAGAAGCATAGGGCCAATCGGGTGAGGATAACCCGCCTGATTTGGGCAAAGGTAAGGTGCCTACATAGGGTAATACCCTCCTCAATGCTCAGCCCAGACCTGTCCTCCAGGTCCACCTCTGTACTCACTCTCTGTGGCAAAGAGTCGGCATAGCATAAGAACTCAGCAATGCTTTGGACACTGGGAAGTCCACACCGCTCTGTCCCTCCCTCCAGGTCTATGCACCCCGGATCCCGGTATATGCTGAGATTATGGTTCTGAAGCCCACCGACAAATAGGCTGAGAGCAGTTAACGGACTACAGCTCCCAGCATATTAGGTGGGGCATGTACAACTTTGCCCCTTCTTCCAGGGCTATGCCTTACCCCGGAGACTGGCGCATGCTGGGATTGTAGTCCTGTAGCCATTTGACCAAAGGGCTGGGAGTGTTTATGAGAATACAACTCCCAGCAATCCTAGGGAGGAGCACACAGCCCCGCCTCTTCCCCCAGTGATACGCATTGTCCCTGAGACAGGTGCATGCTAAGATTGTAGTCCTGAAGCTCTGCGACCAAAGGGCTGGGAGTGTTTATGAGCATATATCTCCCAGCAAGCCTAGGAAGACGCACACAGCCCCGCCTCTTTTTCCACTGACGCGGACTGTCCCTGACCCCAGTGCATACTGGGATGGTAGTCCTGCATCCCTGTGATGAAAGTTCTGGGAGTCTCTATGAAACTACCTCTCCCAGGAAGCAGAAGGAGGGGTCCACAGCCTAGCCTTTTCCTCCAGTAATGCGCACTGTCCCTGAGCTGGGTGCATGCTGGGATTGTAGTCCTGCAGCCCGGTGATGAAAGGTCTGGGAGTGTTTATGAGACTACATCTCCTACCAAGCCCAGGAGGTGCACACAACCCTGCCTCTTTCTCCAGTGACGCCAACTTTCCCTGAGCCCGGTGCATGCTAGGATTGTAGCGCTGCAGCCCTGTGACAAAAGGGCTGTGAGTGTTTATGAGACTGCATCTTCCACCAAGCCCAGAGAGGCGTGCAGAGCCTCGCCCCTTCCTCCACTGATTAGCGCATGCTCCCTCAGTCCCATGCATGCTAGGATTGTAGTGCTGCAGCCCTGTGACCAAAGGGCAGCCCAGTGACCAAAGGGCTAAGAGTGTGTGAGAATACATCTCCGAAAAAGCATAGCGAGAAGAGCACAGGTCCACTTCTTCCTCCACTGAGGCGCGCTCTCCCTGAGCACGGTGCATGCTGGGATTGTAGTCCTGAAGCCCTGTGACAAAAGGGCTGGGAGAAATAATGAGACTACATCTCCCAGAAAGCCCAGCGAGACGCATGTACCCCTTTCTCTTCCTCCATTGAGGCGAACTGTCCCGGTGCCCCGTGCATGCTGGAATTGTAGTCCTACAGCTATGTGATGAAAGGGCTGGGATTGGTTATCAGAATGCATCTCCCAGCAAGCCCAGCGAGGCACGCACAGCTCCACGTCTTCCTCCAGGGACACACACACACACACACACACACACACACACACACAGTCCCTGAACTCGCTGCATGCTGGGATTGTAGTCCTGCAGCCCTGTGACCAAAGGGCCAAGAGTGTTTATGAGACTACATCTCCCAGAAAACGTAGGGAGAGGCACACAGTCCCACATCTTTTCCCAGTGACGCATACTGTTTTTGATCCTGATACATACTGGGATTGTAGTCCTGCAGCCCTATGACAAAAGGTCTGAGAGGCTTTATGAAACTACATTTCCCAAGAAGCGCAGCGAGGTGCGCAGAACCTTCCCATCCTTATCCAGTGAAGGGGAATGTCCGTGAGCCCCAAGCATGCTGGGATTGTAGTCTTATAGCACTGTGAGCCAAGGGTAGGGAGAGGACACGAGACTACATCTCCGAGAAAACCTAGGGAGACGCACACAGCCCCACATCTTTTCCCAGTGACGCATGCTGTTTTTGATCCTGATGCATTCTGGGATTGGAGTCCTGCAGTCCCGTGACAAAAGGTCTCAGAGTCTTTATGAAACTACATTTCCT
Source organism: Homo sapiens (assembly GCF_000001405.40). NCBI lineage: Eukaryota > Metazoa > Chordata > Mammalia > Primates > Hominidae > Homo > Homo sapiens. The sequence continues at coordinate 121,531 of NW_021160026.1, forward strand.
AGCAAGTGCAGCGAGGTGCACACAACCTTCCCCTCATTCTCCAGTGATGTAGACTGTCCGTGAGCCCCAAGCATGCTGGGATTGTAGTCTTATAGCACCGTGACCAAAGGACAGGGAGAGGCCATGAGACTACAACTCTCAGGAAACCCAGCAAGGCGCACACTGCCCGGCCTCTTTCTCCTTAGACTAGCGCACTGTCACTGAGCTGGGTGCATACTAGGAATGTATTCCTGCAGCCCTGTGAGCAAAGAGCTGGGAGTGTTTATGAGAATACATCTCCCAGTACTCCCAGGAGGTGCACACAGCCCTGCCTCTTCCTGCAGTGACTAGCGCACTGTCCCTGAGCTGGGTGCATGCTGGGATTGCAGTCCTTGGCGATCTATGACCAAAGGGCTAGGAGTGTTAATGAGACTACATCTCCCAAAAAAGCAGAGTGAGAAGCGCACAGCCCTCCCTCTTCCTCCAGTGACGTGTGCTGTCCCTGAGCCCAGTGCATGCTGGGGCTGGAAGTGTAGTCCTTCAGCCCTGTGATGATAGGGCTGCGAGGATTTATGAGAATACATCTCCCAGCAAGCCCAGCGAGTAACAAACAACCCCGCCTCTTCCTCCAGTGACGCGCAATTTCCTTGAGCCCGGTGCTGGCTGGGAGTGTAGTCCTGCAGCCCTGTGACCAAAGGTTTGGGAGTATTTATGAGAATACATATCCCACCAAGCCCAGCGAGACGTGTACAATCCCTCCTCATCCTCCAGTAACGCGCACTATCCTTGATCTTGGTGCATACTGGGATTGTAGTTCTGCGGCCCTGTAATGAAAGGTCTGGTGACTTTATGAAACTACATCTCCCAGCAAGCCAAAGGAGGCACACAAAGCTTTGCCTCTTCATCCAGGCACACGCACTATCCCTGATCCCGGTGCATGATGGAAATGTAGTCCTTCAGCCCTGTGACCAAAGGGCTGGGAGTGTTTATGAGACCGCATCTCTCAGCAACTAAAGCAAGGCCTGCACAGCCCCGCCTTTTCCTCCAGTGACGCTCACTGTTCACTAAGGAGTGTTCATGAGATTACATTTTCCATCAAGCCCAGCGAGTTATGCACAGCTCTACCTCTTCTTCTAGCGACGCGCACTGTCCCTGATTCCGTTGTATGCTGGGATTGTGGTGCTGCAGCCCTGTGACAAAGGGGCTGGGAGTCTTTATAAGACTACATCTCCCAGCAAGCCCAAGAGGCTCTCACAGCCATGCACCACCCCCTCCCGCCCCACTTTTCCTTCAGTGACGCGCACTGTTCCCTGAACATGGTGCATACTGGAATTCTCCTGTTGCGGGATTCAGGAGGACGAGACAGACCTCAGGTTGAAACAGGAGAATCTTTATTGAGTGCACTCAGGACCAGCTGACTCACGTCAAAAAGACCGGGCCCGGAACACAGACAACACCTGACTTTTATACACACTTCACAAAAGGTGGTGGGCTAGCTTGAAGCGAGCTTACAGTGGCGTGAAAGCAGGAATACAGAGGCAGGACAAAGACAGGATTGCACATGACCGTTGCCAAGCAACCCACATGTCCATTATCTAGGTTTCCCTGGGCATGGGCTTATCCTATAACCCTCACTATGGTTCCCAAACAGCTGTAGTTCAGCCTACTCAGGCTTCTCATGACTTTCATTGTACTTCTTCGATAAAACACAATACTTGAAGTCACTAGTTACAGAGAACAAGAATCTATAAACTCATTCCATAAAACAAAGGGAATTTGTTTTTCTTTTCCCTGTGTTGGGGGAGTGTTGGGAGAACCTCCAGAGCACATTACATAATATTATCAAGAATTTTCCTGGGTCTGGGCTGTGCCTATTGCTGCCTCTGGGACAAATCAGCCTAATACAAGAAAACTTATTTCTCTTTCCTTTTAATTTCATTTTTCTTTAATTTCCTTCCTTAGTCCTGCAGCCCTGTGACCAAAGGACTGGGAGTGCACAGTTACACATCTGTTCACTTGTCATGAGACTGTTTTCCTTTAACCCCATGAACATACTTACCATAGCTTCTTTCAAATCTTACCTACCGATTACAGCATCTTGCACATCTTGAGAATAGGTTCTATTGTCTGCTTTTTATCTTGTGAATCGATTACATTTTCATCCTTCTTCACGCATCTCATAAATTTTTAAATTGTGTGATAGGAATTACAGGGACTCTGGCTTCTGTTGTATTTCTTTGAAAATTATTATTTTATGAGGGAGTTAATTTGAATAGATGCAAACCCCAATCCTTATCTCTTCTACAGTGGCAATACTAAAATCTTCATTCAGTTCTTCTAAACAGTGTGCCTTTCTATATAGCAAAATATAGTATTTTATTAAACTTTATTATAGTATATGTGAAACAGTTATTGAACAATCTACTCTACTTCATTATTACTGGAAGCCAGAACCTCAGTTGTGTTCACTTTCTGGATTTTATATAAGTGAAATTGTACAACATGTATACTTTTACATCTACTTTCTTCTATGCAACTTTATATTTATGATATTAATTCATCCTATTGCAGATAGCTATAGTTTGTTTATTTAAAAAATATTTTTTATATTGTGGCAAAGTATACATAAAATTAACCATTTTAGCTATTTTAAGTGTGCAGCTCAGAAAAATTAACTACACTCACATTGTTTTGCAACTATTATTCTCATTCATAGGGACCTTCTTTCAACTTCCAAAACCAAAATTTAATGCACATTAAATAACAGCTCCCTGTTACTCCCCCTCCAGCTCCTAGGAACCACTCTTCTACTTGGATTTCTAGAATTTAACTACTCTAAGTATCTCATAAGTGGAATGATACAGTATTTGTCCTTTTATGACTGGCTTATGTCACTTTGCACAATGTCCTTAAGGTTCATGCATAACGTACCATGTGTCAGAATTTTCTTATTTTACATAACTGAATAACGTTCCAATATATGTATAAATCACATTTTATTTATTTATTCATTGATGATAATTCAAACAACACGGGTAATTCACAAACCTTTTGGGTGATGTGAGTAATGCTGCCATGAGCCTAGGTGTACGTGTATTATTTTGTGTCTTTGCTTTCACATCTTTTGCTACATACCCAGATGTGAAATTGTGGGATCATATGGTGACTTTTGGTGTACATTTTTTAGTTATTATACTGTTATTTTATAGCAGCTGCAACATTTTACATTTCCAACAACAGTGTACAAGGGTTCTAATTGCTCCACGTCCTCACCAACACTTGTGATTTTCTGTTTTGTTTTGTTTCTTTTGGTAGTAACTATGCTGATGTGTATTAAGTGATATATCATTTGGAGTTATATTTGCATTTTACTAATGATTAGTTTTGTTGAGCACCTTTTCATGGACTTATTAGCCATTTCACATAATTTTTAAAGAAATGTCTAAGTATTTTGCCCATATTTTAAACAAGTATTTTGTTTTATTATTGCTGAATTGTTCTTTGTATATTCTGGATAGAGTCCTCTTTATTTTTCTTTTGTTTCTTGCATTTTTTGTGTCCTGTTAAAAAAAATCACTGCGAAATCCAGCGTTATGACATGTTTTACCTACATTTTATACTAAGAATTTTGTAGTTTTAGCTCTTACATTTAGGTTTTTGTCGAGTTAGTTAATTTTTTCTTATGGTATAAGTTAAGGGAACAGTTTCACTCTTTTACATGTAGGTACCCAATTTCCCCAGCACTAACTGTTGTAAAGGCAGTTCATTTCCCATAAAAATCATTTGACCATATATATGAGGGTTTATTTATATTGGCTTTCTATATTACTCCATTAGTCTATTTGTAGCATGCTATTTTGGAATTTTGTAGTAAGTTTTGAAATCATTAAGTGTGACTTCTCTAACTTTGGTATTTTTTTTTCAAAATTATTTTTGCAATTTAGGGTCCCTTGAGATTCCTCATAAACTTAAAAATTGATTTTTTAATATCTACACAAAATAATTGGCATTTTGCTTCTTGGTTACTTCCTAATTTTATTCTTTTGATGCTATTGTAAATTGAGTTGTTTTCATAATTTTCTTCTCAGATCATTCGTATTACTACATAAAATACAGTTTATTTTTCTATGTTGATTTTGTATGCTACTACTCTGCTGAATTTATTAATTTTAATATTTTTTGTGTGGAATCTTTAAGATTTTCTACATAAAAGAATATATTTTCTGTACACACTTTGATGAAGTTTATTTCATTGTCTTTTTTAATTTCTCTGAATGAAACTTCTAATACAGTGTTGAATAAAAGTGGCTGGCAAGAGCAGACATTCTGTCTTCTGAGCTTAGACGAAATAATTTTGGTCTTTTCCTCTAGAACATGTAGTTTGCTGTGGGTTTTTATACGTGAATTTTACAAAGATGGTTTTCTTTTATTCGTAATTTATTGTTTTTATTATAAAATATTTTGAATTTTGTAAAATACATTTTCTGTATTAATGAGATAATGTTTTCTAAAAATTTTGTTAATGTGTCATATGCATTGATTATTTTTCATATGCTAAAACTTTTGTTAAGAAAGGCTAGCTAAGTGAACCAGTGAGACTGGAAAAAGAATAAAGAAATCTATTCTGGTTGTGATCAATTAGTTGTAAACACCATTGCACTGAAACCAGCCATACGCTAAATCTTCCTTACATTCCAGTAATAAATTCCCCTTGGTCATGGGGTGTAATCTTGCTAGTATGCTGCTGAATGTGGTTAGCTAGGATGTTGCTGAGTAGTTTTGCATCCGTGTTCATAAGGGATATTAGTCTATGGGTTTTTGTAGTCTCTTTGGCTTTGGTATGAGCTAATGCTGGCATCATGGAATAAGTTTGGAACTGCTCTCTTCAGGCTTTTGGTAGATTTTGGAAAGGATTTTTGTTCTATAAATGCTTGATCTACATCACCAGTGAAGCCAACAAAACAAGGGCTTTTCTTCATGAGAGGTTTTTAATTACTGATTCCATTTCCTTAGTAGTTTTCTATCTATTCAGATTTTGTATTTCTTTGTAATCAAGTCTTGCATAAGTAGGAATCTGCCCACTTTATCTAGGTTTTCCAATTTATCATCCTATCATAGTTCACAGTACACTTTTTTAAACATTTTATTTCTTTGAATTAGTAGTAATGTCCCACTTTCATTACTCATTTTAGTATGTGAATATGCTGTTAATTTTTCGTGTGTGTAGCTGAAGTTTTGCCAATTGTTAATTTTTTGAAGAACTGAGAGTGAACTTTTGGTTTTTTGGAATTCTGTTGTTTGTGTAATCTCTATTGCATTTATCTCTGCTAAAATCTTCAATACTTTCTTCTTTCTCTTTGTTTTGCATCTAATTTGGTGTTATTTTTCTAATTTACTAGGTGATAAAGTTATTATTTATTTGAAATCTTTGCTCTTTTTAAATGTATCTTAGCTGCAAACTTTTCATCTTAACACTGTTTTTGCTGTTTCCCATAACTTTTGATATGTTTTGTTTTCATTTTTCTTCCTCTGTATGTTCCTACTTCTTCCGTGATTTCTTCCTTTACTTAATTTATACAATTTTGTAATTCTTTAAGTTGTAATTGTGTAGTTGTTTAATTTATACAATTTTGTAAACTTTCTAGCATTTCATCTGTTATTGATTTAATTTGAGATCTACTATACAGCCCATCCTGGAGAATTCCCCATGTGCATTTGAGAAGAGTGTGTACTCTGTTTTGTTGGATGAAGTATATTGTATATATCTGTTAGATCAATTTAGTTCATTGAGTTAGTCAAGTCCTCTATTTCCTAATTTGTCATTCATCTCATTTTTCTATTCATTACTCAGAGTGGAGTATTAACATCTTCAACTATTATTTTAGAACTGTCTATTTGTCCCTTTAATTCTGTCAACTTAGTCTTTCTATATCTAAATGTTTTATTATTAGGTATGTAAGTGTTTAAACTATTTCTATCTTCTTGCCAAATGCACGTTCTATGATTATATAATGTCTTATTGTCTCTTGTAACTTTTTAAGTCTATTTTGTCTGCTATTAATATAGTCATCCCCAGTCTCTTTTTCCTACTATTGGTATAAAATAATTATTTTCTTCCCTTTTTTATAACCCTGAATTGCTGTGGAAAGCTAACAGTAGCATTACTTAATTTAAAAAGCACAGAAATCTTAAATCAATAGCTTAATGTTTGTAAAAGCATTTAAATGGAAATAAGCTACCAGTTCACCAGGAACAAAGGATATCAGTTGGGTCTAAGAATAATCATGCCAAAAAGCTCTAGGAGGAAAAGCTCCTGGGAATTAGGACTGTGATAATGGTCTTTGAGATCAACAAAGAAATGGGGAAATGGGGATGCTCAGGGTCAGGTACATGCTTAGCAAAAGACCCAGAAAACCCTAAGCTGTCACCTGTGTACTTTAAACTCTGCACAAGTAGAAAATAGAGGCACAAGGAGAGTTGTAACTTTATGCTGATTAGTAAAGGCATGCTCCAACACACATACATAGATCCCAGGTGAAAAAAAATCAGATATTTATTTTTAGTGAAGGTTAAAAAATCTGGAGTCTTACTTTCCAATTAAGGATTAGTGAAAATATTTGGGGAGATTTGCATTGATCAGTTCATCCTGAGGTCAAGAAAATCTTGATTTTAAAATTTGGAGCCTCCAGTAAAGGATTAGCTTCCACCTAGAGGTGTTCTTTGGCCTTTTGGACTCAGTGACACACTACTGGTTACACTGATTTGAAAGTCAGCAAAGAGCTTGCTACAGAACTCCTGACAAACTAAGTTTGACCTATAGAGGGCTAGGGCATCCCCAGCTGGTTGAAATTTTGTGCCTCCTTCTATCCTCTGAAGCAAAGCTGCTGTCTCTGTGGGGCCCCCAATTTACTGAGTGTTTCCTATATGACTGGTCCTGGTTCATAGATGAGTCAGGGAAGGTGAAACCTCATGATGTCCACTGGGCCGCTGTGGCTGTTTAACCTGTGCCAGCCATACAGAACCTGACATGAGTGGTTGCTCCTCTCAAAGGTCAGAACTCAGGGTTTGGGATAATGGCACATATTCTATCTGTTTGGTTATCTACAATGGAAAGTGTAGACTGTCTGAATATCTTTTGGGCTGCAAACCGGAAACAACCCCAGATGCTGATCTAACTGGGTCACTCATCTAGAAGTCCATGGTAAGTGTTTTCCAGAGAGTGACCACAATCAAGCTGCAGATTGAACCTAAATCTGTGTCCAACCCAGAGTCTAATACTGCAAACCAGACTTGGGGTTGCTGGTGAAAGTTGACCTATCTGTCTCATGGTTGAAGAATTCCTAGACCATACCTAGCAGAGTAACCAGAAGTGGACTTTTAGCCCACTTCTTGAGATATCAGTCACCACTGTTGACTTCTTCAGCATAACAGTCATCTGACTCCAGCCATACCATGTGTCCCTTGAAGCTAATCTGTGCCACCTTTTAGGCTTTTGAGGTCAATTGAGCTCTGACTTCGTGGCATTTTTCACCACATCGACTAAAATGGGCCAACTCTACGATGTTCCCTCCTTTTCCACACATGTTGGTTAGATAATTCGTTGATTAGGTATGCTTTTCTCTGAAAGGGGATTATCTCTTCCAGATTGCCTCCAAGATAAGGATGAAATGTTTGGGGGATCTAGGAATCTATTTCACAAATTTGGAATTTCGTGCTAATAATTCCTGGGTGAAATGTCTTTCTTTCCCATACCTGCAATTCTAGACCAGCCTGGCTTTTGTATCCTCTGAGTTGCATCCCAGCCTAGCAGCAGTTATGGGACTCCAACTTAGTTCTGGTTAAGTTTTATGTAAATATTCTTGTATCTGTTTTACCTGGCTCTACTACACAAAATGTCTAGAAAAAAGTAAAGGGCGACTAGAATAAAGGTGAGATTATAGATATCGGAATGAGACACACTGATTCTGTAGAGATAGAGGGAGAACAACAACCTGGAACGTGGGAAATGAACAACTTAGACCTCGGAAGCTACGGGGAATGGTGGGACATTAACAACTTTTTTTCTTTCTGAATAACCCCTGGTGCAGCCCACAAAAGAGTCTGGAAATACTATTAGAACAGACGGTAAGACAGAGGCTGTGGATTCAGCTCCTTTTGGTCTCCACGTTACTCTTAAGAATCCTTTGAGACTATTCTATCTCTCTGTGATGTAGGCATGGAACTCTAGTGGGCAGTGTGCACTCTCGGTGCCCATGGTTCAACGCCACAGTTTTTCAGATGATGGACAACCATTGCTTTTTCCTGAAGAGACTTAGTACCCTGTGGCTGAGCTTAAGCGGGACTCTAGGAATTACTGATTGCATTTTCTTCTTCTTCTGTGAACTGCGATTTCTCCTTCTGTTTTTCTACTACCTAGAGATTAATCTGTATTTGTCAATATTTAGGTAAATCAGAGACATAAAGCAGATAAGGAACCCTAGACACAGCTTCTAGCATAGCTGGACTCTTGCCTGTTTCTCTTCCCACTTTATGAGATCAATTATATTGGCACAGAGAGATAGCCTTAGATGGGTCTCTCAGGATCAATTAGAGAAGCATACTTCTAGAGAAGCTGGTAGAACAGGGCAGGAGGGCCAGTGAGGATCAAAGCTTCTATCCAAATGTTTTAGCCTAGCTGTGTGTGGCAGACGAATCCAGGAAAGCTCCCAGATCCCTGGAAGGGATTATTAAGAGAGGATCCATTAGATTAGAATGCTAGGTTGGGTGTTCATCTATCACCTTCTGAGTCAGATTTCCAGGGTTAAGTCTGTGGTAGGGCTGCAGAGAAATGCTCGCCTGGGAAAGCCTCTGATCAAGTGCAACATAGGTGACTCCCGCACAGGGAGAAGTCCTCTATTTGAGGAACATCATATGTGTTTGGATGTATCTGTGCTCTTCCTCAGCAGAGGACCATTGACTGAATGACTGTTTGACAATTACGCATAAAGAGCCCTATATTATTTTGAATTTAGTAAATATTGGAACAGAAACAAACAATATTATCTACTTTCAAATTGAATAACAGCATGAGCAACTTCCAGGTAAATGTCACAGGAGGAAACTCTGGGGCCTTGCTCATCACCAGAAACCTTGAAAATCCTGATGCAACCTGTAGGGTTAACCTTATCAACACTTAGTTTTTTACCATATAGATTTATCTTCATAAAAAATATTTTCTTTGGACCTTTATTTTGTTATATGCCATGAAGAATAAATCATTTATTTCCTTTGCGATAAGAACATCACATTTTTACACCTCAAGTATTAATGATGCCATCCCCCATGTAGTTTTTGTTGCGATGGCCTGAATGTTTATGTCCCTTTGCAAATTCCTATGTGGATAATTTTAGGCGTGTGGCCTTTGGGGAAGTGGTGAGGCCAAGAGTTCTTCATCTTCATGAATGGAATCAGTGCTCTTTCAAGGGAAGTTGAAGGCAATGCCCTTGTCCCGTGTGCAAGATGGTACCATCTATGGGGAACAGGGCTCTCAACATATACTAAATTTTCTGCTGCCTTGATCTTGCACTTTCCAGACTCCATAACTGTGAAAAATACATTTCTGTTGTTTATCCTTTACCCAGTCTGAGGTATTTTGTTATAGCAGCCTGGATGAACTATGACACTTTCTTAGGCACTTTGGTCTATTTCTGAATTTTTAGTTTCAGTGACATATGAGTTTTTAATCAATCAAGATTTTTCACAGAGCTTGCCAGTCTTGTTTTTTGCTTTTTTTTCAGAGTTTTCTTGTCTATTCTTATGTGTGTTTTCATCTATATAATATTTTATAGTAACGTGTACTTCCAATATTTAATGGTATCTGTATAGGAACAAAATTGAATTTATAAATAAACTTAAGGACAATTGATGTTGATAATATTGAGATTTGCTGCCTAAGAATATGATACAAATTGTCTATTTGCTTATGTCTACATTCATATATTTCATAAACTTTCTATGTTTTTCTCATATTCTGTACACATTTTTGTAATGTTTATTCCTAGTTTATTTTATTCTGCTAAAAAGTAATTTGAGACACAATGAAATTGCCAAGTGTCTATTTGAGTAAGAGCAATTGATAAATTATAAAATATCAGACCAAAAGTTATTTAGTGCTTCTCTGACAGAGTAAGAAGCAAGTATTTATTGAAAAAATGTAGAAACAAAAAAATCATTTGATTGGTGGTAGCACAACTTTTTTATTGTTTTTTGTTCGTCTGTTTATCTTGTTGGACAGTTTCTATTTATATAAGGATGTTGGCTACTCCTGATTGGTTGAGCTTCATTTCTCTTTTTTAAATAGGCAGCTACAAGAAATATTTAAGTTTTGCTTGTATTTGCAAATCAAGCAAGGTTGAGATCACTTATGAGACCTAACTAATTTCGTCTGCTCAGAGATTATTGAGACGTGATCTCCATTTTAATTTATTTTAACAAATTTTCTGTACTTTTAATTCCCATCCAAACTGTAACTTATAAATTATTATTGTTGTACATATATAGGCCCATGTTGTGTATGCTTTGAAGACATGTCCTGCTTTCAAACTCATTTGTATTATGTTATTATTGAATTTGCCCCATTTATTGGAATTATATACTGCAATCTCCCAACTACAAGAGGTATGAGTTCTGAGGAGATCACAGTAAAGATGAGTCAGAAGTGAAAACGGTTCTCCAACTCACACATGCAGTAAAAACAAATTTCACGTGGATATAATGAGTAATTATTTAAAATTTAAAATACCCTGAAAACATTAACGTTTATCTCATTACTATGTAATATGGAAATTACAAGACAAAAAAACCCAAAGACTTATTTTTAAAATAGAAATGGAGCTTTTTATATGATGAAATGGTCCATAATTTAAATGTAAAAAGTGAATAGGAAATACATGAAATAAAATAAAATTATTTGTAAAAGTGACAATGCCCGTATTAGATTTAACAATATCTTACAATGAAATAAGTTGAAACCTACAAAATAGAAGAAAGTTTAAAATTAGGCAAATATTATGAGCCAGGTGAAGAATAAATACATATATCAATAAGCATTTAATGTATTTTGTCTTAGATTTTATATGAAATAATAAAAAGTAAGCAAACCAATAGCAAGGTAATTTCACCCTGATTGATTCAAACTGAAAAAATATTAACATTTCTCCATTGGAAGTTGGATTCATGGATTGGCCTCATGCTGCATTCAAGGCACTTTAGCCAGGACCCAACACTCATTGCCAAGAGTCATCAGGCTAGAAGTTTGCTTTTAAGATGTTCCCCGGCCTGCGACCAAGACACTTTGTCTTGACTACTTCTTCAACTCTGACATAGGTTTTGCTGATATAAATGAAAACCCAGCTCTATACCTACCAAGCATCTACATGGCTAGAGCTGCACATTGAATATTTAGGCACTAGGCAAGAGGTCTTCCCAGGTTTCCAAGCAGACTTTCTAGAATTTCCCAAAAATACTGACATTGTCTTTTTCAGACCCAATCTCCCAAAGAGAATCAGAGAGATGGTCTGGAAGCCATTTAGAATCTCCAGCCTCCAATTTAGTAACAATGGACTTGGATACAAAGAGGCAACCTACTGACCTCAAAGACACCAGCCCAGATTCTGGGCATTGAATTCCTGCCTCCCCATGAAAGATCTCATCTGAGTCACATCAAAGCCCACACTCTTCTTCAACGTTCACCTTCCAGACACGCTCCAAAACAGCCCCTCAGAATTGTCTTGAGATGAAACAAAAGGTGATGAAGCTCCAGGTTTGGAATGCCTGCCTCATTCCTCACTCCTGAAAAGTCTACACCTGCTGGTTAGAACTCTCATACCTTAGGGAGCCCGGGCTCTCAGAGTGCATCCTCTAACAGGACCTCCTGGCCTTTTCCTCCTTGGAGGAGAGTGCCCAAGAATAAGAGGGAATACATGGCCTCCACTCTCACTTGACTTGATTGACTGATTAACTGATGTCTGAGGAGGAAACATATGTAGGGAACAGCCTGGGTCTTTTGAATCCCTGTTCCCCAGCTATGATGCCTGTGCAAATGGAGGGAGAATCCCAAAGTATTGTTGGGAGGTAGACAGACACTGGCTAACACAATTAAGTAAATATAAGGTGACTTGAAGGGAAATTTATCATATGTCATATACAAAATTTTAGTTAGTGAACTTTATTTAAAAACAGTCACAATTTGTAAGGGGAGTAAAGTATAATTTTAATGGGGAACTATGAAAATTATCTGCACTTGCTATGTAAATGATTGAGTTAGGGGTAACAATCTGAAGGTCATGAGCTTGATATCTGCTACTTAATTTCATAAGACATTTACTTGCAAATGGTTGTCATTTTTGCTCTCACCATATGAAAATTTTTTCTTGCTAAGAGCATTCCTATGAAAGAAAAACTAGAAATTTTGCCAATTTCGGTTATTAAAACAATAAAACTGGTTTGTTTGTTATTCTTAACCAAATGCTCCTACAGATGGCACATAGTACCCATGCTTTGATTGTTTTTTTCCCACCTTAAGTCAATTGCCTTTCATTTTATTCATCAAACTGTTTTTACTGTAGATAGACATTGCAGTTGTCATGTGCCCTATGGATTTGTACTTTATTAGAAATATGAATTCTCAGGCCGAGTATATTGGCTCACGCCTGTAATCCCAGCACTTTGCGAGGTGGAAGAGAGTGGATCACCTGAGGTCAGGAGTTCAAGAACAGCCTGACCAACATGGTAAAACCCCATCTCTCTACTATTTACAGTTCGCATTGTACCTTGCAATGAATATACATTTTATCCAAAAAGCCTAAAAAATAATGAAATTGGGGGTGGGGGCATGGCTGGAAGTATAGATAAAACAAAAATGACACATGACTAGCAGCTGTTAAAGCTGGGTGACTGGTCTGTTATACTTTTTTTGTATTGTGTATGTTTTTAGTGATCTGTAATAAAACACTTGTACAAAATGACAAAGTTTATCTACACTTAGCTCTTAAGGTCTTGGTTACCTTTGGGAAGGGGAAAGTGTCAGGGGCATGAACAAATCTGATTCTTAGATACACAAGTGTATTTATTTAGTAATAATTCATCAAACATTCCCTAAATGCTTTGTGCCTATATTGCTGTATGCATGTTATTTATCAATAAAAATGTAAAGAGTGCATGTTTGCATAACAATCCTAAATTAATATTTTAGAATAATAGCAATGTTTTGTTTTGTTTTCAAGTGGGGCGTGTTCACTCAGGACATCATCAGGTGTATGTTAATGTTCCAAGTTATTTATTTATGTTTTAACTTTTGGGTGAGCCCCCCTGGGTCTTTTAATTTTTACTTCAACACAGTAAGTAGCATGGTTTTAACTTTTTGGAATGCAGCTTTGTTTTCATCAAGGTTCTCCCCGAAGAATGATGCTCACCCAGGCCAGGGCACACAGTGACCCGTGCACAGGATGCACTGAGCACACACGGCACTGGGTGAACCAGGAACAGAAGGAGAAGCCAGCCTGGGTCTGCAAAATATACTTTGCAGGAAAAGCAGGTAAAATGGAAAGGTCACAATTCAGCAGCAAACGTTTTCACATTCATTGGAGAAATCATTTCTAACAAAAGCTGCTCGTTAAAGCCATGGTTTTCTGGCTTGCCTACACATTGTAATCACCTGCACGACTTTCAACCATATTTTTTTCAGATCCAGCTCCAAGGATTCTGATTTAGTTGTGCGGTTACAACTTGGGTTTAAGGGATTTTGAAAGTTTTCCTCCCCGCAGGTGATTCTCTTGCGCCAGGGGTAAGAAGCGCTGGATAGGGGTGAGGGATGCTTTAGCTGTGAGAGATAGCCATGTACGCTTCAGGATTTGCCCCATCGCATATCTGGAGTTCGGGGTCTTAGAAAGCTTTCTTGCCCTGTTAAAAATTAAAGGATGGCTTCAATACATACTTAGCTGCTTGGCTACATTGCAGAAAAACAAATTGCCTTTCCAGAGATCAGTTTTTTGAGACAGGGTTTTGCTCTGTCAGCCAGGCTGGAGTGCAGTTGTGTGATCATGGTTCATTGCAGCCTTGACCTCCCAGGCTCAGGTGATCCTCCAGCTCCAGCCTTCTGAGTAGCTGGGACTGAAGTCATGCACCACCAGGCCTGGCTAATTTTTCAAATTTTTTTTTTTTTTTTTTTTTTTTTTTTTTTTTTGTAGAGATGGCTTTCTCTATGCTGCCTGGGCTGGTCTCAAACTCCTGGTCTCAAGTGATCCTCCCACCTCAGTCTCCCTAATAGTTCGACCTACAGGCACAGGGAAGCATGCCCGGTATATTTATTAAAATGTAGTTACCAGAATATTTAAAATTCACTTGTGCCTCTCATATTATTTCTTAGAGAATTGCCTCCCTTTTGAAATCTCAGGCTGCCTGCTCTAAAACCTGGATGTGCCAGGAAAGTAAAACATCTGAAATTTTAAAACAATTGTCATTATATTGATTCCATATATGAATAACACATATATATTATTCATTAATACAAATAATCTTACATACAAATGTAAATGCAAATATTTTACAGGCAGGGCCAGTTTCTAGTTCACAGAGGAAGCCCTGCCAGAAAAGGATCCAGGAAAAACCTATAATTCTTGCTTTATTCAACCCAGTGTCAAATCACATATGTCACTCATGGTCTGAGGCGGCAGGGTAGGGAATTGAACTACATCCAATCATGGGTCTTGGAGTGGAAACTATCTAATCAGGTGCACAGCTGGAGAAGAATGGGCAGCTTTTTGGAAGTACGGAGGCCTTGGCCTGTCTCTCCACTCAGAGCTCAGGACACTAGAGCCACCTCAACATAATCACCTGTTTTTTAGTTATTTTAACACTCCAAAAGGGAACTAGTTTTCTCATGCATTTTCCAAATGTGTGGCAGGCAGAGACTCAAATCTAACTCCCTGTTGCCCCAGCCTAACTCTGGCTTGCAATCAGATTTTAAATTTCCAGTTCTTTCCTGACACTCACCAACACTAACTAACCTTCCATAATTCACAACATTATCAACTGTTCTTTATTGTACATTTCAGACACAGTATTTCAATTCTTCTTTTTGTCAAAAAGCAGTGGATGTCATTTAAAAAAATTTTTTCTCATTTGTAAACATTTTACAGGAGATGAAAGCAGAGAATAATCCCCTGACACCCCACTGTAAAAAAAATAAATAAAAAGCGGAAAACCTTTGTGCCCCTTTGTTTAAACTTCTCTTGGCACAGACACCCCATCAGAAAGCCTTTGGGTTCAGGTTTCATTTTGGAAACTTCACAGGGCAATACATCCTCAGCCATCCTGTTATTTTCTTGGTTTTGAATTTCAAAACTGTTTGAGGATTCCCCAAGATGCCAACAGTGGCCATGACTCTTGAAGTGTCTAGTAAATAGCATCCCTTGTGTCATCTCCTCTCAGGGAACAGCCCAAGGTATGGGAATGCAGCCTCTCTGTGGAGTGGTTGTTTGAGATGTGCCTGGAAGGAATCTCTAGGTATACCCTTGCGCTAAAAGCAAACCCATTAGGTCATTAAGATTTTCTTACCCCAAAGCTTAGTTTCCATTCCTTAGAGACACATTGCAGGCCAGGCAAATGGATGCTGATATTGAGGAAAAAATGTTCTCAGATTGGTGAAGGGAGAGAAAATATTTCAAAGGACAAAGAAACCCAACCTAGTGAGGCAGTGCAAAAACCTGCAAAGTAAAATGCACCTCAGGGACACAGAGGAGCACAGGGTAGCGACTCCTGGTAGGATGGTCATGACCCACTTCACTGAACCAGATGTGAGTGGGGAAAATATCCCAAGTAATAGAATGGCTTGACTTGACCCTTGGGTCTGATATGTCTGTGTTTCAATCGGCACTGTCACCTTCTAATTTTGTCACCTTGAAAATGTTTTTGTACTTACTTTAACTTCACTTTTTAATTAACTGTAAACTATGTTTTATCAGTAGAGCTTGAAAGGCATGAAAATATTTATAAAGCACATTAAGTTGGTGAATTTTGAATAAAATTAAGTAGTAATATATTTCACTTGTTAAAAATTGTTACTTGCCTATTTCTTTAGCAGAATGAGTGTCGTACATTTCACAGGACTGTTTTTTATTTGTCTGAGAGGTGATTTCAAGCAGAATCTCACGACTTACTGTTGGGAATGTTACCAGGTGTATTGATAGGGATAGTCTCTCTTCCACTACGGTGGTACGAAATGAATACATACCTACAAGCACGTGAGGTAGATTAATTGTTAAATTACATAAATTTATCACATCAGTTATTCTTTTTTCAAAACAGAGAACTTCTGATAGTGAGTATCTCTGTTCCATATGCTGTCATCTGGGTGTTTGAGGGTAACGCTAAGTTTTAGGAGCTGGGACTTGGCACCGCCTGGAAGTGTTCACATATGATTGTTTACTAAATGATTTGTTATGAACATAATTAAATTACATGTTTATTTTCTGAAAGGGATAGATACTTTGGCTTTTCTTGTTGAGTTATAAAATGTAAGCCCCTTATAACTTTCTTTTTTAATTTTAATTTTATTTTTTAGACTTAGTGTCACTCTTGTTGCCCAGTCTGGAGTGCAATGGCACGATATTGGCTCACTGTAACCTCCACCTCCCGGGTTCAAGCAATTCTCCTGCCTCGGCCTCCCAAGTAACTGGGATTACAGGAATACACGACCACCCCCGTTTAAGTTTGTATTTTTAGTAGAGACTGTGTTTCTTCATGTTAGTGAGGCTGGTCTCGAACTCCTGACCTCAGGTAATCTGCCCGCCTCAGCCTCCCAAAATGCAGGGATTACAGGCATGAGCCACCATGCCCGACCATAATTTCCTCTCTTTTAAACCTTAGATTTGAATGATTTTTGCTGGATTCTTCAAACATGAAGTATTTTTTAAATTGAAAACTAATTGAATGACTTTAACTGGTAAGTAGAAGTCTTAGACCGTTGACTAAAAGCTAAGGCTAACGTTGACCCTGCAAAAGGGGGCCACTGAAGGCCCAGTTGATTATTCCTGGGTGTCTGCCCTGCAGACATCAAAGTCTGCTCACACCAACCATAGAAGGAGCCTTTGTCACTGTCAGAAGATACAGAGCTTTGGTAAGCTGGAAGTTGACAGGCAGATGCAGTTGGGGTTGAGATTGAAGAAAAGTTGGGATATTCTTTCTAGAATGGAGTTGTTATTGTCCTGAGACTGTTTATAGACTTTGTCTAAGAAGTTACTTAAGAAGTGTTGTAACAAGGAAAAAGTACAAATGATTAGATCTTTGAGGATCTCAAAGGTTAGGTGGAAAAGGGTTTTATTTCATAGGGAGGAGAAAATAAGTTTACAAAGAAGGTTGGAAAGGAAGCACAGGATGGAGGGTAGCAAAATCAGATCCCAGATAAGATAATGTTTCATCTTGAAGTCAGCCTGTTCTTAGGAGGGATATGTATAAATATGGGTTGTAGGTTCTCTGAGGCTGTGGGTGAGTCAAAGTTCAGGGGCTGAGGGAAGAAGGGGAACAAGCAAAGTTTTGTTAACAAGTACTCTGTTTTGACCACTGAAGACTAAATTACAGAATGGTTGTTCATTTTTAAAAATAGGAATTTGTAATCTGTGTCCGTCTTTGTGATAGGTTAAAAAAAAGGGGGGGGGGAACATCCACAAAGTCATAATGGGAAGCACGTTTCTCTTCACTAAGCTGTTCTTTGAGAACACAAAGAATGGGGGAATTTCTTTAAATATAGCTATTTCCAGGATTACCTTCACCCACAACTGTTCCTTTTCCTAGACATCTCTTTCATTTGTCAGTTTCTGAGTTGTATTTTTATAATAAAGTGGT
Organism: Homo sapiens; assembly: GCF_000001405.40. Lineage (NCBI taxonomy): Eukaryota > Metazoa > Chordata > Mammalia > Primates > Hominidae > Homo > Homo sapiens. The sequence continues at coordinate 139,390 of NW_021160026.1, forward strand.
AAATATAATTAGACTTATTTGTTGAGTTTTTTTGAGTAACTCTATCAAATTATTTAACTTGAAAAGGGGTTTATGGGAGTCTCAGATTTATAGGCAGTAGCTCAGAAGTATAGATGGGCTTATGGGACATGTGACTAACCTCTGCAGTGAGAGGGGTGATGTGGGACTTAGCCCTGAATTTGTGGGATCTGTGCGAACTCTAAGTTGTGTCAGAATTAAATTTTGGGGCAAGAAATGGGTGTTGAAGAAGCAGTGGGTTTTCAGGGAACTTTACACATTTAGGATCAAAAGTGTTGTAAGGAGAAAGACAATGTGGGGGCCTTTGCTGGAGAGAGACTCCAGGTGTCTCGGGGAAGGTAGGCTCTGCTCTGCACACAGGCTGCTACGCCATGCACTGCCCTGTGGTTCCAGGCATCCTCCCATGGTAAGAAGGACCGACGACTCTGAGGGAAGAAGTTCTGAGAACAGATGCCTTCTACCCTCCTGCCAACTTGAAGCCACCACATGTTTTTCACCCACTGAACATACACACTGCATGTTGACGTGGTCAAGCCCCTCTCAGGACAAGGCTTTGGCATCAAGATTGTTGCCCATCCTACCTTTCCTCATAGACTTTCCCACCAAAAACCCACACACGTGCCTACAAGACCCCTGGCATATGTTCTACTTCAGACACCGAATCTGCAGTGGCAACCTGGTTTTTTCACCATCGCAGATTTCTGTGCCACCTGATCATAATCTCGTCTTCCTGCATGAACATAGAAATAACTCAGAGAAAAGTTTCACCTGGGTCAGTGTCTGTAGCATGAACCAGTCCTCCCACCAACCCTGTACAGTCTCTCACTTCTGGTTTCTTAATAGCACCTTCCCCTCTTTTACCTTTTAGTTCACCTCAAACCCTTTCTTTTATGTGCACACAGTGTGCCCAAGGCCACCCCTCAGTTGCCTGAATCCAGCACCTACCAAAATTCAGATGTCCAGTAGTTCAAGACCATGGGCCTAGACTAAGTTTTTGCAGAAGGCAATACAAATTAGAAATGAGAGGCTCTATTCTCCCATTTGAAAATAAAAAAAAGATTTTTTTCTTTTCCTTTTTCTTAAACAATGTAATCTGGAAAACTTTAATTAGTAATTTTTTGAGGCAGAATCTTACTCTTTTACTTAGCCTGAAGTGCAACGGCATAATCATAGCTCACGGTAACCTTAACCTCTTGGGTTTGAGCAGTCCTCCTGCATCAACCGCTTAATTACCTAGGACTATAGGCATGAACCACCATGCCTGGCTAGCTTTATTTATTTTTGTTTTTATTTTTTTTCAAGACAGTGTCTTGCTCTGTGGGCTAGGCTGGAGTGTAGTGCCATGATCTTGTCTCAATGCAACCTCCACCTCCCAGGTTCAAGCAATTCTCCTGTCTCAGCCTTTTGAGTAGCTGGGATTACAGGCGCACACCACCATGTCTGGCTAATTTTTTGTTATTATTATTTTTAGTAGAGAATGGGTTTTACCATTTTGGCCAGGCTGGTCTCCACCCCCTGACCTCATTATCCACCTGCCTCAGACTCCCAAAGTGCTGGGATTACAGGTGTGAGCCAACATGCCCAGCCATATTTATTTTATTTTTTTGTAGTGACAGAATTTCACCATATTGCCTGTACTGGACTCAAACATTTGGCTTGAAGGTATCCTCATGCCTTGGCCTCCCCAAATGTTCAGATTACAGGCATGAACCACCATGAGTGGCCTGGAACACTTTTACATGTACCTTTTTTTCTCTGCTTCTTTGAAATATAAGCAAATCATTTTAACAGCTAAATAAGCCTTCTGTCATTCTTCATGACAGAGAATTGTCTTTATCTAAGACCTGGAAACTATTGCTTTGTTTTTTAATTTGGCAAAGATTTATTTATTTTTTATTTTCAGTCCTTTGAAGTAGGCACAGCGCAGTACAGTGGCTCATGTTTTTAATCCTAGTGCTTTGGGAGGCTGAGATGAGAGAATTGCTTGGGCCCAGGAGTTTGAGACCAGCCTGGGCAGCATAATGAGACACTTTCTTTATAACAAATTAAAATCAACTAGCAGGGCATGGTGGCACAGGAGGCTGAGGTGAGAGAATCATTTGAGCTCAAGAGTTTGAGGCTGCAATGAGCCATGATCACTCCAATCTACCACTGTATTCCAGCCTGGATGACAGAGGGAGACCCTGTCTCTAAATAAATAAGCAAATAAAAAAATGTGTTTTTCCATACATAAAAATAAGTTAATAAACAGATAAATAAAATAGACATGGATTTGCTTAGAATAAAGCTAATTATAAGATAACAGAAAAGTGAGCACCAAAGATGGGGTTCACCTTAGCAAGTGATTCCAGCCTATTAGGACACTCACAGAATTCTCCCTGCAGCATGACCAACATGAAAGTAGAATGTCATCATGTCAGGCTATACCAGCGTTGGAAGACTAAACACTGTGGGGAAGAACCTCCCTTATGGAATATTATCAACAGGTGAGAGACCAGCTCCTGCCCTGATGGGCTACAGAGATGAATTCTTGAGATAACACATTGCAGAAACATGCATAGAGTAGTTTAACCTTTTTTGTGTGTAACCCTTTCTCCATTTTCCTGCAAAATCCTCCCTAGAAATAGTGTTCGCTTTTAAGTTTTGAGGGTCTGGTAGGACTGAAGCTGCATGCTGCAGGAGATACCTGGGGTAGGAAACTAACACAAACTGCAGCTACAGGCACAAATACTCATGGCCTAATGTAAAGTGAAAACAATAGAAAGGTCTTTACTGTTATTCACCCAAGTGAGTGAACAGAGACTTTCCACATAACCAACTTGCCACTGAGACTAATGAAGGCCAGATTCCACTGGATCAAGACTATGAGTTACTCATGGGAAGATCATAGGACACAGCCCAGAGAGTTTTCATACTGGAGTCTGGGTACTGGGTCTGTCCCGGTCTTCTCGGGTTTCTGTCTGTAGAGACCCCTATGTGGCTGCTCTTACCACAGCCCGGTGCTGGCTGTGGTTGCTGGCTTAGTGCACCTGGTCTTTTTCCAAAAAGAGGGAGGAGTTGGCCACATCAAGAAGCTCCTCATCAATCTGAATGCAGCTCTGTAAAAAGTGCCTAGAAACCACGCAAAGAAAAGTCAGTGGTCTGCCTTGTTTTCACCGTATGTGACACCTCCACTAGAAATTCTGCTTTTCTCTGCACTCCAGCCTGGGTGACAGAGCGAGGCTTCCTCAAAAAGGAAAAAAGAAAAAGAAAAAGAGAGAAAGAAAGACAGAAGGAAGTAAGGAAGAAGAAAGAAAGAAAAAGAAAGAAAGAAAGAGAAAAAAAGAAGAAAGAAAGAAAGAGAAAGAAAGAAAGAAGAAAGAAAGAAAGAAAGAAGAAAGAAAGAAAGAAAGAAAGAAGAAAGAAAGAAAGAAAGAAAGAAAGAAAGAAAGAAAGAAAGAAAGAAAGAAAGAAAGAAAGAAAATAAAAGAGAAAAGAAAAGAAAAGAAATTCTGCTCTTCAGATTAGGCACATAAGGAGAATCTGTATGAATCTCCAGCAAGGAAGGAAACCAGAGGACAAGTTAAAGTCTTGGAATTCACATCTGAGTACACAGACTCGTTCTCCAACCCTCTTCTTTTTATTCTGCCAGCTATGGCCTAGGTATGAACATGACAGGTACACAAGGGTTCCAACACCTGACAATCTGCTTCAGTAAAAGAAGAGTGCCCTCCCTCTTGCTCCCCATACAACTCATGGTACTAAGAAATGGTGTGGGACTTCCCAGATGAGTTGACAAGAGAGGCCTGGCTCTGGGGCCTGTCCTGAGCTGCCCTGTGTTATTTGTAGGTGCACCCAGCCAATAGCCAGGGGCATCAATGATGAGGCCTGAGTTGACATCCGTGTTTTCAGATAAGGCTTTTACACTGAGCCTTTGTAAAGTCAAAACTCAGAAATTTCAGGGCACAATGAAAGAACATCTCACTCTCTTGAGCATCTCTCACTAACAGAGGTGGATACAGAGCTGTCTCAAGAATGTGGGTTCCTGGTTTCTTAACTGATGTTGGGTTGTCACCAAGAAAGTGTGTTAAACTCTTCAAGGTTCCATCTACTGGGTCCCTTCTTTCTGTAAGACCTACCCAAAAGCCCCACTATGCTACTAATTGCTCAGTCTCCTCTTCCATGTCAACTCTTCATTTGTACACAAGTATGCAAACACAACTTCCCCTTAATTCCCTGGAAAGAACTAAATGCAGCCTGGGTTCCAGGATATAAGAGACAGCTGGAACATAACCTTGTTTTTCTTACCATCTCTGGGACCCAATAAAAGTCACTGTGTATTTGAGGCTTCCCCAGCCTCCAAGCATGCACAGTGGGGATGATGCTAACATCTACTTCCTAGGGATTGTATTAGATGTATATAAGATAAAACATAAAAATCATGTGGTGTTACCTGTAGATAATGCACACACTTAGAGATGGAAGCATTAGGAGAATATGTAGAAGGTAGCATGGGCCACAACTCAAACAAGCCTGGGTCTGGCAGGGTGATCTTGGGAATGTCACTTCTCCACTGCGCTTCATTTTCATTCTGCTCCAGTATGAAGTTGAAATTAAATGTAGATACTGTCCTCTGGCATTCATATAGTTTAGCTGTGTGTTCCACCCAAACTTCTCTGTGTATTGTAACCCCCAGGTGTTAAGGGAGAAACCTGAGGGGAGATGATTGGATTATGGGGACGGGTTCTCCTCATGCTGTTCTTGTGATAGTGAGTTCTCATGAGATCTGATAGTTTCATAAGCATCTGGTACATCCCATGCTCTCACTCACTTCACTTGTCAGCCACTGTAATTGGAAGGTTTCTGAGGTGCCCTCCCAATTATGTGGAACTGTGAGTCAATTAAACTTCTTTTCTTTATCAATTACCCAGTCTCAAGTACTTCATCATTGCAGTATGACAAAGTCCTAATACAGCCATTCAACTTTCTAGTGCTTTCTCTTTATATTTAGAATCATATCCATGTGCCTTCTCACGTCTATGACAGGGAAACTCTTCACAAAATCTCACAGTACTAGGTGGTTAGTGACTCAGTTTTTTATTGAATAAAATGGCCTACAGCCTGATGACAGTAATATGGCCCTTGGGTTTTGAGGAAAATATCATGTTGTAGGTTGGCCAAAAAGGAGATAGCAGTCCAGCTGAAATTTGTTTTCTTATACTGGCTTTAAGGCAGTGATTAGAAAAGGCCTAAGAGGTGGGTTCTGTAAGGGATTGCTGGAAGGAAAGTAGGAATATGGAAAGTCATGAGACATATACTGTCATCTCTTCTTGCTTCCTCTCAAGTCACATGCAAATTCAGGGAGAGTTAGTATGAAACACACAATGGAAATTTGGGCTCTAACATATGCAATCTGATTCTTCATGGACTTCATTTGGCCATATCAGTTCCAACAATTTCAGCCAATGTTTAAAAATCTTATAAGCAGATAACATTTTAGTGTTTCAACAAGCCATTTCCTATCTTTCATTCTGAAAATCCATTTTAAGTCATTTTTTTAACAGCATAGGGGTACAAATTCAGCTTCTGTCCAATGAAATACAGAAAAGGATATCACTTTTGTATTAGTTCAGGCTGCTATGCCAAAGAACCATAGATAAGCAGCTTATAGACAACAGGACTTAATTTCTCATACTTCTATAGGTTCGAAATTTGAGATCAGGTTGTCAGCACGGTTGAGCTCTGGTGATGACTCGCTTCTGAATTTCAGACTGCAGACTTCAAGTTTTACCATCATTTTGCAGAAGGAGGAAGAGAGCCCTCTGCGGTTCCTTGTATAAAGCCAGTAATCTCTATTATGAAGGTCCCACCCTCAGGAGTTAAGTACATCTTTCATCCGTATAGCATTACAACGGGGGTTACAATTTTAACATAAATACAGGAGAAAAATTATTGGAACTCTCAAGATTTTTGTTTCCTTTTTTTTTTTTTGAGACAGTTTCACTCTTGTATCCCAGGCAGGAGTGCAGTGGTGTGATCTCGGCTTGCTGGAACCTTCGCCTCCCAGGTTCAAATGATTCCCCTGCGTCAGTCTCCCAAGTAGCTGGGATTACAGGCATGCACCACCACACCTTGCTCATTTTGTACTTTTAGAAGAGACGGTGGTTTCACCATATTGTCCAGGCTGCTTTCAAACCCCTGACCTCAGGTGATCCACCCGTCTCAGCATCCCAAAGTGTTGGGATTACAGGTGTGAGCCACCGCACCCTGTCAAGATTTTTCTAAAGCTCTCATTTTTCTCCTACTGGGTTTTTCCTGTTTGCGCCCTCAATCTTTCTCTGTCTCTTTTTGTGTACACCTTTTTGTCTAATTCTCTCTCTCTATTGTATACCTCAAACACAGGAAGCAAGCTTCAATGCTATGAGATGCTCCATGTAAAGACCAACATAACAGAGCCTGAGGGGGTGCTCAGACCAGTAGAGAGAAGGAAAGTCAGGCTCTCCAGCCACACTAAACCCTGCCAATTTTCACATGAGTCAGCTTAAAGGCTCATGCTTTCCCAGTCCAGCTTCAGTTAAGACCACAGTCCCAATGTCATAAAAGACCTAAAGGCAGAGGTACCCAACTGAACTGTGTCCAGATTCTGGTCCACATAAATTATGAGATATTATATGTTGTTGAAAAGTGCTGACTTTTAGGGCAATGTTGTCAGAAAGGAGCAGATATCTAACCTCATCTCCCAGGCCCTAGGATTCTCCATCCCTCTACTTATATCTTCCTCAGGCTGTCTGCAGCCAAACTTTCTAACCTCTGCCGAACTCACACCTATGAGTCTCTTCACTAAGGGTGGCTTCTCCCTGACACATACTTGTGCAGAGATGTCTCCCTGTTGTCATCCTTATCATGGATTAAACATCACCACAATGAGGCCTTAGTTCCTCCCATGCAATAATTTTCCAGCTTTTCTTCTCAACATTCCACTTTATATTATAGTCCTTCCTCTTTTCTTTCACATATACTTGCTTTAGTGCTTTTATCCAGCTGTCCTCAGAATGTTTGGTCCTGGGTTGGGGGGTGCAGGCATCATGTAATAATTTTCTGTACCACGTTGCACCCACCTGGTTAGCTGGCAAAGGGTGAGCGCAAGGGAAAAAAGACTGGCTAAGTGATTATATGGAGGATCTCTAATATCCCTTCCTCTTTTGACCACCTGATAATGTGGAGATCATTGATAACAACATGAGATGTGTGACTCTTACTTGTTCCAGCTGCTCCAGCAAAGCTCAGTGGGCACCAGAAACAGAGCTGGCTGTAACCACCTCCAGGCCATCACTAACTCTATGGCCCAATGCAGGAGCACTATGGAACAAATCAGGTATCTTGATTTTTCTGTCCTCAAGACACTGGTTCTTCAAGGTCCTAGGGGATAAAGTAGCAGAATCTGAAGGCCCCAAGTACAATGAGTGACCTTGGAATCCCCCTTTGCCTTCTATTTGCCTCTACCTTTTGGGTTGTGCTATTTATCCATGAGATATCCTCCCCTTATCCAGTGAAATTAGTTTCTACCACTTTCAAATGAGGACCTTAAGAACCCAACAGGAGCTGGGATTTTCCGTGGACTTCAGCCTCAGAGTCCAATGCTCTGGAACATTTAGCTCCGTCTCATCTTCATCTACCCAAGATGCCTCTGAAGTGGCCATGCCTCCCTCTGATTTGAAGGACCTACAGAGAGTGGATGCATTTCTGCACAGTCTCAGAGCAAGAATCAGGGCTGGAAGACACTTATGAGTATGTGAAATCGTCGAGGTCACCCAGTTCAAACAGCCCTATTTATGAGGAAGAAAACAGGCTTTCCTGCAGGCATTCTCTACATTAGGCTGAGGTGGAGCATAGCTCATTTTACTTCCAGGTGCCCTCAGAGCTGGATGCAAAACCCCAGTCCTGTCATCTTGAAATTGACATGGAGAGGTCCCCATGTGAACAGAACCCTGGATCTGCTCATTCTCTGTGCCCCTGAATGTGAAGCTACAGGCTCTAACTTCCAAAGCAAACCTGATAGGTGGGATGGAGCCAAGGCCTAGGAAGCTGGAGCTCTCTCTAATGCTCTGGAGCCTGCCCACCTCCTGAGATCTGGATCAGTCCCTGCCTCTTTTGGGGCCTCATTTTCCCAATTGTAATGTAATGAGAAATTAAATGTAAAATTGCATAAGCATATGCTCTGTGAGAATTTGGTGTCAGAGTCCTCAATACTGGATGATATATTTTGGTGGGAGGGGTTTGGGCCCCAGAGGTTCTCGGGACTCCTGACATATCCATTGCAGTAGGTGTAGAGCTCAGGAGATCCAGATCTTCTTTCCTGAGCCAGCTGATTACAATACAATGGACCACGGGCTATGATCTTAAATATGATTTCACAGGATTCCCCACCTTCAGCCACCATCTGCTCTGTGCTTCCCTTATTTTGGGGAGCTGATGACAACCTCCATTATAGTGAGAGAGTCCAAGAAACTAGACTTGTGGACCTGGAGAAAAGAAAAAAACACTTTTCTATTTCTCTCAAACTGTAGAATCTGTTGTCAAATATTTAATTTTGATTCCATCTGAGCTTGATAATACGTTCATGTGTTAAGAGCTGCTTAAATTTATTTTTTCTGTGGTGTGGGATAATGTCTTTTCCCATATTTTAAATCAACTTCTAAAAGCTCTCTTTAAAGTGGAGATGTGAACATCTTTGTGATATAAACTGCACATATTTGTTGCGAGATTGTTCTTTTTCTCTTTGTTAAAATGTTTTGTTTTATTCTGGTTTGGATGTCCTTCAGGGTTTTGTTTTGTGGCTATTTATTACTACAATGCAACTTCTCCCCTAATTGACTGACAGGTTTGTACATTCTCAATAAAATATTTTGGTAAAGTCTTTGTAAAAACTGTGTAGACAATTTTACAGTTTTCATAAACATAAAACAGTCAAGACTGTCATGATGAAAAAGAAAGATTGAGGGCTTAAAAATTAAAATATGACACAGCTAAAGTAGTGTGCAAAGGGAAATTTATGGCACTAAATGCCCACAAGAGAAAGCAGAAAAGGTCTAAAATCGGCATCATAATATCACAATTAAAAATCTAGGGAAGCAAGAGCAAACAAATTCAAAAGCTAGCAGAAGACAAGAAATAATTAAGATCACAGCAGAACTGAAGGAGATAGACACACAAAAAGCCCGTCCAAAAAATCAACGAATCCAGGAGCTGTTTTTTTGAAAAGATCAAGAAATAAATAAACTGCTAGCCAGAGTAATAAGGAAGAAGAGAAGAATCAAATACATGCAATAGGAAATGATAAAGGGGATATAACCATTGATCCACAGAAATAAAAATTACCATTAGAGAATATTATAAAAAACTCTTTACAAATTAACTAGAAAATCTAGACGAAATGGATAAATTCCTGGACACATATACCCTCCCAAGTCCAAACCAGTAAGAAGTCGAATGCCTGAATATGCCAATAACAAGTTCTAAAATTGAGGCAGTAACTAATAGCCTACCAACCAAAAGAAGTCCAGAACCAGAAGGATTCACAGCCGAATTCTACCAAAGGTACAAAGAGGAGCTGGTACCATTCCTTCTGAAACTATTTCAAACAATAGAAAAGAGGTACTCCTCCTTAACTCATTTTATGCATCCAGCATCATCCTGAAACCAAAACTTGGCAAAGACACACCAGAAAAAGAAAATTTCAGGCCCGTATCCCTGATGAATATCGATGCGAAAATCCTCAATAAAATACTGGCAAACCGAATCCAGCAGCACATCAAAAAGCTTATCCACCACGATCTAGTCAGCTTAATCCCTCGGATGCAAAGCTTGTTCAACATATGCAAATCAATAAATGTATTCCATCACATAAACAGAACTAATGACAAAAACCACATGATTATCTCAATAGATGCAAAAAAGGCCTTCAGCAAAATTCAACACCTCTTCATGGTAAAAACTCTCAATGAATTATGTATTGATGGAACTTATCTCAACATATTAAGAGCTATTTATGACAAACGCACAGCCAATATACTGAATGGGAAAAAACTTGAAACATTCCTTTTGAAAATCTGCACAAAACAAGAATACCCTCTCTCATCACTCCTATTCAATATAGTATTGGAAGTTCTGGCCAGGGCAATCAGTCAAGAGAAAGAAACAAAGCGTAATCAAATAGGAAGAGGAACTCAAGTTGTCTCTGTTTGCAGCTGACATGATTGTATATTTAGAAAACCCCATCGTCTCAGCCCAAAATCTCCTTAAACCAATATGCAACTTCAAAAAAGTCTCAGTATACAAAATCAGTGTTCAAAAATCACAAGAATTCCTATACACAATAATAGACAAACAGAGAGCCAAATCATGCATGAACTCTCATTCACAATTGTTACAAAGAGAATAAAATACCTAGGAATCCAACTTAAAAGGGATGGGAAGGACTTCTTCAAGGAGATCTACAAACCACTGCTCAAGGAAATAAGAGAGGACACAAACAAATGAAAAACAATCCGTGCTCATGGATAGGAAGAATCAATATTGTGAAAATGGCCATACTGCCCAAAGTAATTTATAAATTCAGTGTTATCCCCATCAAGCTCCCATTGACTTTCTTTACATAATTAGAAAAAAAACTACTTTAAATTTCATATGGAATCAAAAAAGATCCTGCATAGACAAGACAATCCTAAGCAAAAAGAACAAAAGTGGAGGCATCACACTAGCTATCTTCAAACTATACTAAAAGGCCACAGTAACCAAGACAGTATGGTACTGGTACCAAAACAGATATATTGACAAATGGAACAGAACAGAGGCCCCAGAAATAACATCAAACATCTACAACCATCTGATCTTTGATGAACCTGACAAAAACAAGTAATGGGGAAAGGATTCCTTATTTAATAAATGGTGTTGGGAAAACTAGATAGCCATATGCAAAAAAATGAAACTGGACGTCTTCCTTACTAGTTATACAAAAATTAACTGAAGATGGATTAAAGACTTAAATGTAAGACTTAAAACCATAAAAACCCCCCAAAAAACAAAGGCATTACCATTCAGGACATAGGCGTGGGCAAAGACTTCATGACTAAAACAGCAAAAACAATGGCAACAAAAGCCAAAATTGACAAACGAGATGTAATTAAAGTAAAGAGCTTCTTCACAACAAAAGAAACTATCATCAGAGTGAACAGGCAACCCACAGAAAGGAGAAAATTTATGCAATCTATCCATCTGACAATGGGCTAATATGCAGAATCTACAAAAAACTTAAGCAAATTTACAAGAAAAAAACAAACAACCATATCAAAAATGGGCAAAGGACATGAACAGACACTTCTGAAAAGAAGACATTTATGCAGCCAACAAACATATGAAAAAAAAACTCATCATCACTGGTCATTAGATAAATGCAAATCAAAAACACAGTGAGAAACCATCTCACTCCAGTTAGAATGGTGATCATTGGAAAAATCAGGAAACAACAGATGCTGGAGAGGATGTGGAGAAATAGGAACACTTTTACACTGTTGGTGAGAGTGTAAATTAGTTCAACCATTGTGGAAGACAGTATGGCAATTCCTCAAGGATCTACAATGAGAAATACCATTTGATCCAGCAATCCCATTACTGGGTATATAACCAAATGATTATAAATTATTCTACTACTTAGACACATGCAAACATATGTTTATTATGGCACTGTGCACAAGAGCAAAAACTTTGAACCAAACCAAATGCCCATCAGTGGTAGAATGAATAAAGAAAATGTGGCATGTATACATCATGGAATACAATGCAGTCATAAAAAGGATGAGTTCATGTCCTTTGCAGGGACATGGATGAAGCTGGAAACCACCATTCTCAGCAAACTAACACAAGAGTAGAAAAGCAAACATCACATGTTCTCTCTCATAGTTGGGAGTTAAACAAAGAGAACACAGGGACACAGGAAGGGGAACACCACACACTGGAGCCTGTCAGGAAGTGGGGGACTATGGGAGGGATAGCATTAGAAGATATATTCCTGGCCTAGGCCACTATTGCGATTTTCTAAATTTTGTTTCAAAAACATGATGTTTCAAAAATTGTTATTGATATGTAATTATACAAATATATAGTTCAGAAAAAAGAATCAACATTAATTATGCTTTTTCCAAAATACTTTATGGTTTTGAGCTCTTCTAGCAGTGACATTTTTGCTGTAGGTAGTTGCTCTATATCTGGTATATTCATCATAGCATCCTTTGTACCCTTTACACTTATCCTTCAATTTCCCACTCTCCTTAAGTGTAAATTTTCAAGGCCAGAGCTCCCATATCTTCCCAATATTACTTTTTGAAAAGAAGCTCCTATGTACTGTTTTGTCTGGGTCTTGTTGGATATAATGCTAAAAGAGCTGGAAAATAATAATTTTTTAAAAAATTCGGTGATGAAATTAAGGTAAATATATTTTATAAATCTAATGAACAAAATGAGGCCAGCTGAGAACACAATGATAGTTGAAGAAGAACCTGAGATCCTGTTTCTCTCAATGGATGTATGAACTTAACTGCAATTGGGTGAGCAAAGCCAGTTGAGTTTGTAGCACCCCTCATGAGAAAAAAGCCAACCATAACCACATTTAGAAGAAAGAAAATTTGGTTACATTTCTGCACTACAGAACAGTGCAGTTAGATAAAATTCTGTCCATTCCATGATTCTCCCTCGGGAAAGAAAACAGAGTGAAACGTGTATGCAAACTTCTGACTTATTGATTTATACCTTTAACATTTAGTGTTGACCAGAATAGAGATAGAGTTTAAATGACAGCTTGGGTCGACTGAGAATAAAGATAAATATTTCTTACAACAAAGAGACTGTAGTGCCTGCAACAGTGACAAAGAGAAGAGACTAAAGGCTCCTAAGAGGAAAGAGAGGTAAACCTTATTAACAAGAAAATACATACAGTACAAAGAAGACACATTTTGACAACAGATTGGAGAAGCTCCCGGAATGACTAGTGTGGCTGAATATTGTCAATTTTCCCATGTACAAAGCTTTTTCATAAAGGATAAAATAGGTAGTGGTTTCTTAATTGACCAAAACCTTAACAAAACCACAGTACTTAAAAGCAACCAGGAAATATAGCCTAATGAAACGAGAAAAATATATATTCAAGTGACCCTAAAGAAGTGGAGATCTATGAATTATTTTTTAACTTAAAATCATTTTATTTTTCTTTATTTTTTCATTTTATACACAGGATCTTACTCTATCTCCTGGGACAGATTGCAGTGGTGCAATCACAGCTCACTGTAACCTCAAATTTCTGAAGTAAAGCAGTCATGCCTCCTATGTCTCCTGAGTAAATATGACCACAGTTGGGCACACTACCACACCTGTATAGTTTCTTTAAAAGAATCTGTACAAACAGAATGTTGTTATGTTGCCTCGGCTGGTCTCAAACTCCTGGTCTCAGGCAATCCTACTGCCTCAGTCTGAAAGTGCTGGCATGAGCCACCATACCTGGAATTGTTTCTCTTTTAAGAAAAAAGGACTTTAAATCATTAATAGTAAAATAAAACAAAGAAAGGCATTGCATAACGATAGAGAGTTCAATTCAACAAGAAGACTTAACTATCCTAAATATAGATGCACCCAACTTTGGGGAACATAGAGTTATACAACAAGTACTGCTAGACCTACAATAAGACTCAAGTAGCCACGCAATAATAGTAGGGAAACGCAACTCCCCAATAACAGTGTTTGTCAGATTATCTAGGCAGAAACTTAACAAAGAAATTCTGGAGTTTGATTTCGCACTTGATCAATTGAAACTAATAGACATTTATAGTATACACCACACATCATCTAAGGAACATAAATTCTTCTCATCGCTCACAGAATATACTCTAGGATTGACCACTTCCTAGCCATAAAGCAATTATCCATACATTTTTTAAAAATGAAAATTATGCCAACCATACTGTCAGGCCACAATGGAAAAAAGATAAATATCAATACCAACAAAATCTCACAAAATCACAGAATGGCATTGAAATTAAACAACTTGCTCCTGAATGAATTTTGGGTAAACAACAAAATTGAGGCAGAAACTTAAAAAAAATTTGAAATAAATGAAGAGACACAATATACTAAAATGTCTGGGTTGTAGGAAAAGCTCTGTTAAGAGGAAAGTTGAGAGTGCTAAATACCTGCATCAAGAAGTTAGAATGATCTCAAACTAACAATTTAACATCACACTTAGAGAAACTAGAAAAACAAAAACAAACTAACCCCAAAGCTGGCAGAATGGCAAAAATATTCACAACCTATAAACCTGACAAAATCTAATACTCAGAATCTATAAGAAACTTAAAGAATTCACAAGCAAAAAATTACCCCATGAAAAAGTGGGCAATAACAGACAATGTTCAAAAGAATACATACAAGTGGCCAAACAACATGAAAAAAGCTTATCACTAACCATCAAGGAAATGTAAATAAAAACCACAGTAAGACACCATCGTACACCAGTTAGAATGGCTTTTGTTAAAAAGTAAAATGATAGTAGATATTGGTGGGGTTTTAGAGGGAAAAAACCACTTATACACTGTTTATAGGAATATAAATTAGTTCAGCCACTGTGGAGAGCAGCTTGGAGATTTTCCAAATAACTGAGAGTTGAACTATGATTCAACGCAGAATTTCACCGCTGGGTGTATACCCAGAAGAGAATAAACTATTCTACCAAAACAGCACATGCACTTGTTGGTTCATCACTGCATTATTTATAACAGGAAAGACATGAATCAACCTACGTGACTATTAATGGTATTTTTTTTTTTTTGAGATGAAGTCTCACTCTGTTGCCCAGGCTGGAGTGCAGTGGCACTATCTCAGCTCACTACAACCTCCACCTCCCAGGTTCAAGCAATTCTCCTGCCTCAGCCACCCGAGTAGCTGGGACTACAGGCTCATGACAACACGTCCGGCTAACTTTTGTATTTTCAGTAGAGACGGGGGTTTCATTATGCTGTCCAGGATGGTCTCGATCTCCTGACCTCATGATCCACTCACCTTGGCCTCCCACAGTGCTGGGATTACAGGCATCAGCCACCGTGTCCAGCCTATTAATGCTAAATTGAATTTAAAAAGTGTCACATGTACAGCAATACTACTTAGCAAAAACAACAACAACAACAAAAAAACTTGTCCTTTGCAGCAACATTAATACAACTAAAGGTCATTCTACAATCAAATTAATGCAGAAATGGAAAACAAAAATACTGATGTTCTCACTTATAAATGGAAATTAACACTGGGTACACATGGACATAAAAATAAAAATAAAAGACAACTCTTAGAGGGTGGAGAGAGGGAGGGATCAAGAACTGAAAAACTGTCTATTTAGTACTATGCTCACTGCATAAGTGATGGAATTACTTATATTTCAAACCTCAGCACTATACAAAATACCCATGTAAAAAACCTGTGTAGGTACCTCCTAAATCTAAAACAAATTTGAAATTCTAAAAGGCGGTCTTACTCTCTCACCCAGACAGGAATACAATATCATGGTTATAACTCAATGCAGCCTCAAATTCCTGGGAACTCAAGGAATAATCTTACATCAGCCTCCAACTTCCGAGACTACAGGAACATTCCACCATTCATGATTAATCTGTAAAAATATTTTTTACATATAGCTTCTCACAATATTGCCCAGGGTGGTCTCAAACTCCTAGCCTTAAGTAATTGATATGGTTTGGCTCTCTGTCCCCAACCAAATCTCACCTTGAATTGTAATAATCTCCACATGTCCTGGGAGGTACTCTGTGGGAGGTAATTGAATCATGGGGGTGGGATTTTCCCATGCTGTTCTCATGATAGCAAAAAAGTCTCACGTGATCTGATGGTTTTATAAGTGGAGATTCCTCTGAACAAAGTCTCTTGCTTGCTCCAATAATTGTGAGACCTCCCCAGCCATGTGAAACTGTGAGGCCATTAACCTTTTTCATTATGAATTATCCAGTCTTGGTTATGTCTTTATTAGCTGCATGAGAATTTATTAATACAGTAATCCCCTTGTCTTAGCTTTCAAAGTAGCTGGAATTAGACACACATATCATTGTGCCTCGCTAAAACACCTAGCTTAAAGATACTCATTCAGCTAAACAAGAACATAGAAAGCTAAACAGAAAAAGAAAACAATTCATGAAGATAATGAGATTATCAACGAAGTGATTAAAAGTACAAAATAGAAACATAAAGTGTGGAGCTGAAAAATAAAATACCTGAATTTAGAGATTCACTAGAAGGTCCAACAACAGGTTTGATCTAGCAGGAAAAAATCCAGCAAGCTTCATAAGAAGTCTTTTGAAATTATATGGTGAGGAGGGTAAAAATAATTTTAAAAATTAAGAAAGCCTAAGGGACTTATGGGATACCATTAAGATGGCCAATATACTTCTAATGGGAATTCTAAAATAAAAAGAGAGAAAAGAGAGCAGCAAAGTTATTTCAAGAAACAAACAGTGGCTGAGAACTCTCAAAATTTGAGGGAGAAAATGGCCTAAAATTTAATGAAACTTTACCAACTAGTAGCAACACAGGGAGACCCATGACAAGACACATTTTAATCAGAGATTCAAATGTTAAAACACCGAGAATCTTGAAGTCAGCAAGAAAAAATGACTTAGCATGTACAATGTTACCCCTATAGGATGACCAGCAGATGTCTCAGCCAATAGCATGCAGGCAAGAGGTTGTAGGATGACATACTCAAAGTGCTGAAAAAAATGGCAAGTACCAACCAAGAACACTATGTCTGCCAAAGCTATCATTTCAAATGAATTAAAAAATAAAAATAAAGAATATTCAAGATCAACGAAAACTGTATTAATTTATGCACGGTAGGCCTGTATAAAAAAATGCTAGTCATTGACATTAAAAAATAAAATAATGATGAGAGCAACATAGAATTATGTAAAATATAAAGTTTTCTAACAGATAATTATGTACACAATTATAATATTTTTGTTATTATAATGAAGATGCACAGAATACTTTTAATTCTGCTATGTAGTTGAGATAACAAAGACTTAAAAATGACTATATAACTGTGCCAATAGATTCACAATACAAAATGATGTAATTCGCGACATCAATAAAACACATAGGCAGCCATAAAGAGGCAGGGTTTTATATGCTATAGTAGTTATTTTTGGTAATATCTATAGTAACAACAAAGAAAATACCTATAGTACTTAGGATTTTGAGACTAGTCTGGGCAACATGGCAAAACCCTGTCTCTATGAAAAATAACAAAAATTAGCCAGGAGTACTGGTGCACATCTGTGGTCCCAGGTACTCAGAAGGCTGTGGTGGGAGGATTGTTTGAGTTGAGCCTGAGAGGCAGAGCTTGCAATAAGCAGATATTGTGCCACTGCCCTCCAGCCTGGGCGACAGAGCAAGACCCTGTCAAAAAAAAAAAAAAAAAGGAAATACCTATAGTACACACACACAAAGACATACACACAGAGAGAGTAGTGAGAAAAGAAGTAAAACATGTCACTATAAAAATCAATAATACGCTAAGAAAGAGAACAAGAGAGAAAAACAGGAAATAATAGCTACAGGACCGGCCAGGAGCGGTGGCTCACGCCTGTAATCCTAGCAATTTGGGAGGCCGAGGTGGGTGGATCAACGAGGTCAGGAGATTGAGACCATCCTGGCTAACACAGTGAAACCCTGTCTCTACTAAAAAAAATAAACAAATAAAAATAAAAATAGCCGGGCATGGTGGCAGGTGCCTGAATTCCCAGCTGCTGGGGAATCTGAGGCAGGAGAATGGCGTGAATCCGGGAGGCGGAGCTTGCAGGGAGCCAAGATTGCACCACTGCACTCCAGCCTGGGCAACAGAGCAAAACTCCGTCTCAAAAGAAAAAGCTACAGGACCTAAAACAAAAAAGAAACAAAATTAAATAGAAAGTCATAGGAAATTATTCCCTTTTAGTAATGATTTTTTATATATATAAATTATGTCAATCAAAAACATACTTTCACTAAATAAATTCATGAAACAAGATTCAACTCTCTGCTTCCTACAAATGACCACATTATGATCTGGAACATGCATAAGCCATACATGAAAGAATAAAAAAAATTAAATGCAAAATCAAATACTGTCATGGTAGACAAAATATATATTATATCAAAAACTTCCTCAAGAGACAAGAAGAAAAGGACAATAACAACAACAACAATAAAAGCAACAAAAAACAACATATATCAATAAAAGCAACAACAATAAAACAACATGCAACAATAAAAGCAACAGTAATGTGTGTGCCTTACATCACAGTTCCCAAAATATGAAGCAGCATTTTACAGAATTGAAACATGAAGTAGCCAGCACATAACAGTAGATGACTTTTTTATCAGACTTTTAGTAATGTAAATTAAAAAACAAACATAAGATGAATAAGTAAACAGAGGATTTCAACAACACAATAGAACAATTAGACCTAACAGTCACATTTATATCTGTCCACTCAACAGTAGAATATGCAATACTTTTAATCACACATGCCACAATATTCCAGATAGACCACCTGTTAAGTTAAAAAACACATCTTAGCAAATTTCAGCAGATGGAATTACACAAATTATTCCTAACTATGATACAATAAAACAAGAAGTTAAAAACACTAGCATGTCAAAGAATAAGTAAAAATTAAACAACAAATTCTCAAACACACTCTTGTTCAAGAGGTTATAGACTTAATATTGTTAAAATGTCACTACTACCAAAAGTGGTCTACGGATTCAATGTTCTTTCTTTTCTTTTCTTTCTTTTTCTTTTGAGACGGAGTTTTGCTCTTGTTGCCCAAGGTGGAGTGCAATGGTGTGATCTCAGTTCACTGCAGCCTCCACCTCCTGGGTTCAAGCTGTTCTCCTGCCTCAGCCTCCTGAGTAGCTGGCATTACAGGCAAGTGCCACCAAACCTGGCTAATTTTGTATTTTTAGTAGAGATGGGGTTTCTCCATGGCTGGTCTGGAACTCCTGACCTCAGGTGTTCCACCTTCCTCAGCCTCCCAAAGTGCTGGGATTACAGGCATGAGCCACAACCCTCAGCTGATTCAATATACTTTCTATCAAAATACCAATGAAACTTTTTGCAGAAGTTTTAAAATATTCTACAATTTTTATGGAATTTCAAGTGATCACAAACAGCCAAACAATATTGGGAAAAAAATATAAAGACAGAGGCATCATACTTTCTATTTTCTAAACATACTATGAACATATAGTAATCAAAACAGTTTGGTACTGACATAAAGACAAATGAATGATGAAACAGATGAGAGAGTCCAGACATAAGTCCTCATGGGTATAGTAAACATATTTTTAAAATGTGTTCCAAGAATCACAAACAGGAAAGAACAGTCTCTTCAACAAACAGTATTGGGAATAATAAAAATTTACAAGGAAAAAATAACAAAGTTAGACCTTAACTTGCAACAGATAAAAACATAAACTCAAGGCTGGGTGTGGTGGCTCACACCTGTAATCCCAGCACTTTGGGTGACTGAGACAAGTGAATCACAAGGTCAGGATATCAAGACCATCCTGGCCAACATGGGGAAACAACGTCTCTACTAAAAATACAAACAAAAATTAGTTGGCGGTGGTGGCACATGCCTGCAGTTCCAGACACTCAGGAGGCTGATGCAGGAGAATCTCTGGAATCCGGGAGGCAAGAGTTTCAGTGAGCTGAGATCATGTCACTGCGCTCCAGCCTGGTGACAGAGAAAGACTCCACCACAAATAAAGAAATAAACTCAAAATAACTAATTTTTGGTAGCTATTAAAATGGAATTTATAATTTTATTTTTCAGATAGTTCGCTATCATCATACAGAAAGCTACTACTGTGTTAATTTTCTGCAATGTTACAGAATTTGTTTAGTAGTTCTAATAGTTTTTGGTGTAGTGTTTAGAGTTTTTCACATATAAGATTATTTTGTCCACAATCAGAGACCATTTGACTTCATCCTTTCAATTAGTATGACTTTTATTTCTTCCTCTTGCCTAATTTCCTTGGCTAGGACTTCCAGTACTATGTTGAATAAGAGGGCTGAAAGTTTGGACGATTTGTCTTGTTCCAGATCTCAGAGAGAAAGCTTTCAACTTTTCCTTATTCAGTATAAAGTTAGCATTGCTTTTTCATAAATGGCCTTTATTGAGTTAAGGCACATACCTTCTATTCCTAACTTGTTGAGAGTTTTCATCATAATCAAGGCTGAATTTCATCCAATTCTTCTTCTGCATATGCAAAAGCTACAAAAATGAAAATACTTAATGTGATGGCTAATACAGGGTGTCAAATTGATTGGATTGGAGGATAGAAAGCATTGATCCTGGGTGTGTCTGTGAGGGTGTTGCCAAAGGACATTAACATTTGAGTCAGTGGGCTGGGAAAGGGAGATCCACTCTTAATTGGGTGAGCACCATCTAATGAGCTGACAGTGAATATAAAGCAGGCAGAAAAACGTGAAAAAGAGAGACTGGCCTAAGCTCCCAGACTACATCTTTCTCCTGTGCTGGACACTTGCAGCCCTCAAACATCAGACTCCAAGTTCTTCAGCTTTGGGACATGGACCGCCTCTCCTTGCTCCTCAAACTTGCAGACAACCAACCTATTGTGGGATCTCATGATCTCTCTAGGGAAGCCCAACTAATACACCTAGCAACAAACTTAACTAAAAAGGTAAAAGATCTCTACTCTGAAAACGACAAAACATGGATAAAAAATATAAAATACAAATGAATAAATAAAAAATATTGTGTTTATACACTGGAAGAATACTGTTGATATAGCTACCCAAAGTGATCTACAGACTTAATGTGATTTTTATCAAAATACCAATGACATTTTTTCACAGAAATAAAAAAATTTAAATTTATATAGATCCACAAAAAACTCTGAATAGACAAAGCAACTTTGAGCAAAATAAGCAAAGCTGAAGGCATCACTTCATCAAACTTCAAAACTTGCTATAAAGCTACAGTAACCAAAACAGCACTGTACTGGCATAAAAACAAACACATAGACTAATGTGCCCAATAAGCCCGGAAGTTAATTTATGCACCTAAAGCCAACAGATTGTCAACAAAATTACCAAGAACACACTTTAGAGAAAAGCTAATCTCTTTAATAAATGGTGCAGGGCCATTTAAATATTTATATTCAGAAAAATAATACTAGACCCTTGTACCTTGCCATATATGATAATCAACTAAAACTAAAGACTTAAATGTAATGCCATCAATTATGAAACTATTAGAGAAAAACATAAAAAAATGCTTTATAACATTGGACGGTGAAAGGATTATTAAAATAAGATTTCAAAACATGGGCAACAAAATCAAGAATAAACAAACAACATTATGTCAAACTAAAATGCTTTTTCATATTAAAAAAACAACTAAAAGTTTGAAGAGACAGCTTAGGCGATGACAGAAAATGTTTTCATATACATGTGACAAAAGGCTAATATTCAGAATATATAAGAAACTTTAAAATCTCAAAATAAAATACACTTATAATCTAATTTAAAAAATGCAAAAGATCTTAATAGATGTTTGTCAAAAAGAGATACAAAAATGGCTAACTGGAACACAAAAAGATGCTCTACATTACTAATCACCAAGGAAATGCAAATCCAAACTGCAATGAAGTACCACCTCATTCCCATTAGAATGGCTATAATAAAAATAAATAAATAAATAAATCAAGAACTAATAAGGATATAAAAAAGAGTGGATGTATACCTTGTTGGTGGAATTGTAAATTAGTATGGCCATTATAGAAAATAGTATGGAGGTTTCTGAAAGAAATTAAAAATATATCTATTATATGATCCAGCAATTTTACTTCTGGGTGTATATCCAAAAGAAAGGATATTACTGTGTCAAAAAGATATTTGCATTCCCATGTTCATTACAGAACTATTTATAATAGCTTATATATGGAATCAATTCAAATGTACAGCAACAGATAAATGGATAAGGAAAATGTACTATATATACACAGCGAAATACTATTCAGCCATAAGAAAGCATAAAATTCTGTCAGTTAAAAAGAGCATGGATGAACCTTGAGCATACCATGTTAAGTAAAATAAGCCACACAGAGAAACACAAATACTTTATGATCTTATTATCTCACTCATTTGAGGAACCTGAAAAAAAGGGTTGATAGAAGCAAAGAGTACAACAGGGGTTACCAGAGACTGAAGCAGGAGGATGGGAAAAGGCTGCTTCACAGGTATTGTGTTATGATTAGATAGGGGAAATAAGTTTTTGTTTTTTATTACACAGCAGAATAATAATAATTAATGAAAAGTTATCTCATATTACAAAATAGCTAAAAGAGACCAGTTGTGGTGGCACATTCTTGCAATCCATACATTTTGGGAGACTGAGGTAGGAGAATCACTTGACGTCAGAAGTTCAAGATGAGCCTGGACAACATAGTGTGACCCCGTCTGTATGAAAAATTAAAACATTAGCCAGGCATGGTGGCAGCTTCTTGTAGTCTCAGCTAATTGGGAAACTAAGGTTAGAAGACTGTTTGAAGTTACAGTGAGCTAAGATTGCACCACTGCACACCAGTCTGGGTGTTAGAGCAAGATCCTGTCTCTAAAAAAATTTAATACGTAAAGATAAAATAAAATAGCTAGAGAAGAAGCTTTTGAATATTCTCACCACAAAAATAACAAATGCATGAGGCAACAAGTATAGAAGTACTCTGATTTTTATTGTTATACAACATATATATATAATTGTTTCCCCAAAATATGCACAATTGTATGTGTCAATTTTAAAAAATGAATGAAGACTATAATGTAAAACCTATAGCTGTAAAATTCCTAGCACAATACAGGAGGGTGAAGCTTCATGACAACTGGTCCTGGCAATAATTTGGGGGACGTAACATCAACGGATGAGACAACAAAAGCAAGGGAATACACATGGTACTGAATCAGTGTTTGAAAAATATCCCAAACAGACAAAGCAGAACATGGAATAGATATATGCACATTGTAGTATTACTCACAAACATGTTACCTGGAAGCAAATGTACCCTTAAGGATGAGTAGATTCAGCAAACAGGGCAAGTACAATCACTGGGATAGCATTCAGCCTTAAAAATAAGGAAATCTTGAAAAGCACTACAATAAGGACAAATATTCAAAACATTCTGTTAAGTAAAATAAGACAGTCAAAAAGGAAAGCTGTATAATTACACTCATGTAAAATATTTAGTCAAACTCAAAGAAACCAAGTGTCATAGTCTCAGCAGTGCACCAAGATGTAACAGTCTCTCGTAGTCTGAGATAACATCCAGAGTTCTTTGTTCTACCTCTAAGGAGATTAAGGAGTGTAAACACAAAGGTGAGGTTGGAGTGAAAGTTTAAGAAGCAAGAGAAGAAAGCTCTTTGCCAGCAGAGATAGGTATCTGAAAGTGGTGCCCTCTACGAGGCTGGGTCCAGGGTTTTAAGGACTGGGAAGGGAAGGAAATGTGCCTAGTTCACAGGCTGTCTTGAAAAACGTGTGGCTCAGCTTGGCCCAGGCCTTTGGCCCAGGACCAATCAGGAGCTGAAGGGATGATTGATAGATGCTGCTTAGCTTGGCCCAAGACTTACCAGAAGCTAAGGTGAAAGTTTGGCCAAGGAGCTTGGAACGGGAGCAATCAGGGGCTGAAGTAATTATTCATAGAGGTCAGACTTACAGTCCAAATAAAGGAGAGTGTCTACCGGAATGTACCAGATCCCACAGTGCCCATGCCAACAAAAAGAGAAGGAACATTTTCCTGGGAGCCCACTGACTGTACAAAGACAAAGGTGTTTCTTTTTTTTTTTTTTTTCTTGTCTTTCTTTCTTTTTTTTGAGATGTACTTTCTTTTTTATTTTTATTTTTTTTTTTTTGCAGTTTTGCTCTTGTTGCCCAGCCTGGAGTGCAATGGTGCGATCTCGGCTCACAGCAACCTCCACCACCTGGGTTCTAGCGATTCTCCTGCCTCAGCCTCCCAAGTAGCTGGGATTATAGGCATGCAGCACCATGCCTGGCTAGTTTTGTATTTTTAGTAAAGACAGGGTTTGTCCATCTTGGTCATGCTGGTCTCAAACTCCCGACCTCAGATGATCCGCCCACAGCTGCCTCCGACATTGTTGGAATTACAGGCATGATCCACCGTGGCTGGCCAAACAAAGGCATTTCTGTGCTAGGTCGTTCTTGTTCCTTTATCTGAGTGAGCTGGAGGTTTGTACAAGTTTTTATCCAAATGGGCCAGAGGTTTTCTATCTCTGCAGCCACGGGCATGTCTCCAAGCACAACAACATATGCTAGTTTCCTTGTTAGTGTCTGCAGCTTGATTTTTTCCAGGCTTCTTTATATGTTATGCCAGGGATGAGGCACTGACCAGGAATTTCCAGGGACTCTTCTCTTGCTATCTACCTAAGGCAAGCTAACTAACTTCTTTCAATAAGTAATGAGTATTCACTTTTACTTTTGTAAGACACAAATTATCTAAAACCTACTGCAAAAACAATAGAACTATACTAACCACTTCTAAACCATATACTTAAAATGTCAGAAATGACAATGGCATGTTTTTAACTACAATTAGAAATTTAAGACTAACTAAAAGGCACAGTTAGAAAATCTTTCAAACATCACCTTCAAATAACAAAGGGTTCTTCTCACACAATTATATGGATTTAAACTATTATGTTGATTGTAAATTTAGATTATTTCCCTGATGGACTCACCAAGATAGAATAAATAATCACTGGAAACTAAGAAAAGAGGGAAATTTATAGCACTAATGTCCACATCAAAAAGCTAGAAAGGGCTGGGTGTGGTGGCTCATGCCTGTAATTCCAGCACTTTGGGAGGCTGGGGTAGGCAAATCACTTAAGGCCAGATGTTCAAGACCAGTCTGGACCTCACAGCAAAACCCCACCTCTACAAAAAAAATTCAAAAATTAGCTGGTTTTTGTGATGCACATCTGTAATCCCAGCTACTCAGGAAGCTGAGACAGCAGAAATCACTTAAAACTGAGAAGTGGAGGTTGCAGTGAGCGGAGATCATGCCACTGTACTCCAGCCTGGGTGACAGAGTGAGACTCTGCCACAAGAAAAAAAAAAAAGAGAAACTAGAAAGATCTAAAATTAACAGCGTAACATGTTGATTAAAAGAACTAGAAAACCAAGTGAAAACTAACCAGAAAGGTAGCAGAAAACAAGAAATAACCAAGATCAAAGTAGAGCTGAGGGAGATAGAGACACTGAAAACTCTTCCAAAAAAAAAAAGTCAACAAATCCAGGAGCTGTTTTTATGAAAAAAATTAATAAACTAGATGGAACACTAGCTAGGCAAATAAATAAGAAAAGAAAGGAGAACCAAACACAATTAGAAATAATAAGGGAGATATCATCACTGATCCCATGGAAATATGAACAACCATCAGAGAACACTATAAACATATGTATGCACATAAACCAGAAAATCTAGAAGAAATAGACAATTTCCTTGCAAAATAAACCCTCCACAAGACTGAACCCTGAATAGATCAATAATGTGTTCTGAAACTGAGGCAGTAAAAACTAGCCTACCAAGCAAGCTGAATTTGAGCAGAGGTACAAAGAGGAGATGGTTCCTTTTCTCCTAAAACCATCCAAAAAAAATTGAAGACAAAGAAGTTCTCTCTAACTCATTCTATCAGGCCAGCATCATCCAGATACCAAAACCTAACATAGATACAACAACAACAACAACAACAACACATCATGCCAATGTCTTTGGTAAACACTGTGCAAAAATCCTCAATAAAATACTGGCAAACCAAATCCAGCAGCACATTAAAAAGTTCATCCGCAACAATGGAGTTGGCTTTGTCCCCAGGATGCAAGGTTGATTCAACATATGCAAATCAATAAATGTGACTCATCACATAAAGAGAACTAAATACAAAAACCACATGATTATCTCAATAAATGCAGAAAAAGCATCCAATAAAATTCAGCATTCCTTCAGGTTTAAAATTCTCAATAAACTAGGAAGTGAAGAAGCATACCTGAAAATAATAAGAGCCATATACAACAAACCCACAGCCAATATCATACTGAATGTGCAAAAGCTGGAAACGTTCCACCTGAAAACTGGCACAAGAAAAGAATGCCCTCTCTCACCACTACCATTCAATATAGTATCAGAAGCCTTGGCCAGGAAAATCAGGCCAGAGGAAGAAATAAAGAGTATTCTAATAGAAAGAGAGGAAGTCAAATTATCTTTGTTTGCAGATGACCTGATCCTACATCTAGAAAACCTCATTGTCTCAGGCCCAAAGCTTCTTAAGGTGATAAGCAATAGTAGCAAAATCTCAGGATATAAAATCAATGTGCAAAAGTAGCTAGCATTCCCATACACAAACAACAGGCAAGCAGGGAGACAAATCATGAATGAACTTTCATTCACATTTGCTACAAAGAGAAAAAAATACCTAGGAATACAGCTAAGAAAGAAAGTGAAGGACCTCTTCAAGGAGAACCACAAACAACTGCTCAGAGAAATCAGAGTGGACACAAAACAGATGGAGAAACATTCCATGCTCATGGAGAGGAAGAATCAGTATCATGAATATGGGCATATTGCCCTAAGTAATTCATAGATATAATGCTATTCCCATTGATACTGACATTCTTCAGAGAATTAGAAAAATAAAAACTTTAAAGTTCATATGGAACCAAAAAAGAGCCCAAATAGCCAAGCCAACCTTAAGAAAAAAAAAAAAAAGCTGGAAGTGTCACTCTACCTAACTTCAAACTATACTAGAAGAGTACAGTAACAAAAACAGCATGGTACTGGTATAGAAACAGACACATAGACAAATGAAACAAAGTAGACAACCTAGCAATAAAGCCAAAAACCTACAACAACCTGATCTTTGACAAAGTCAACAAAAACAAGGAATTAGGGAAAGGTCTCCCTATTCAAAAAATGGTGCTAGGAGAACTGGCTACCCATATGCAGAGAATTTAAACTGGAACCCTTCCTAACACCATATACAAAAATTAACTCAAGATGGATTAAAGACTTAAATGTACAACCCAAAACTATAAAACCCTTAGAAGAAAAAATCTAGATAATACCATTCAGGATATAGGCATGAGAAAAGACTTTATGACAGAAAGGCAAAAAGCAATAGCAACAAAAGCAAAAATTGACTAATGGGGTCTAATTAAACTAAAGAGCTTCTGCGGAGCCAAAGAAACTATCATCAGAGCAGACAACTTAGAGAATGGGAGAAAAATTATGCAAACTATCCATCTCACAAATGTCTAATATCCAGAATCTAGGAGGAATTTAACAAAATTTACAAGAGAAAAAAAAAAGGCCCCATTAAAAAAGGGTCAAAGAACATGAACAGACATATCTCAAAAGAGGACATACATGTGCCCAACAAACATGAAAAGCTCAACATCACTGATAACTGGATAAATACAAATAAAAACCATAATGAGATACCATCTCACACAAATTATAATGGCTGTTAATAAAAAGTAAAAAAAAAAAAACAGATGCTGGCGAGGTTGTGGAGAAAAGGGAACACTTTTACACTGTTGGTGGGAGTGTAAATTATTTCAAGCATTGAGGAAGAGAGTGTGGAGATTCCTCAAAGACCTAGAAGCAGAACTACCATTTGACCCAGCAATACCATTACACCCAAAGGAATATAAATAATTCTATTTTAAAAATACATGTGTACAAATGTTCATGGCAGCACTATTTACAATAGCAACATCATGTAATCAATCTACATGCCCATCAATGATACACTGGATAAAGGAAATGTGGTACACATACACCATGGAACACTATGAAGCCATAAAATGTAATGAGATGATGTCCCTTGCAGGGACATGGTTGGAATTTGAAGCCATTACTCCCAGCAAACTAATGCAGGAACAGAAAACCAAACACCGCCTATTATTATTCTAACTTATTAGCAGAAGCAGATCAATGAGAACACATGGACACATCAGGAAGAACAACACACACTGGACACCTGTTTCATGGCATGGGGGAGGGGAAGAAGAGCATCAGGAAGAATAGCTGCGGATGCTGGGCTTGGTACCTGGGTGATGAGATGATCTGTGCAGTAAACCACAGTGGTACGCATTTATGTATGTAAGAGACCTGCATACTCTGCACATGGACCCCTAAACTTAAAAAAATAAAAGTTGAAAAATAAACTTTATCACATATGGACCCCTGAACTTAAAATAAAACTTGAAAAAAAAATGTGTTTCTGGTGGATTCTCTATGTTAGACCCAAACTGAGGATCTTGAAGCTCTCGCTGGGGGAATCGGGGATGGGGACACACTGGGGAGCCGCTGCCAAGGCCAACCACCCTCCCTACAAGCCACCTCCCTTCCCGGCCAGTATGGAAAGGAGAAGGGGTATGTGGACAGCTGTGGAGGTCAGAATCTCGGGAACTGAATCAGGCCCCAGCCCATGCCCCCCAGCCCAGTCCAGCCAGCGTGCTTGCCAGTCTTCCCACCCAGCCAGCCCAGCCCTCAGGATTGTTAGATGGCACAAGGCTCCATCATCACCCAGGCATGGAGGGAAGATGCCCTGGTCCTTACCAAGCAAGGCCTGGTTTCCAAAGTCCTCTCCGAAGAGGCCTCATGTTTGCCACATCTTAAAAGTCCCCTTTCTGCTGTTCTTGCACCCAGCATGTTGGACAGTCAAGTTCCCCCGCTGAGCAATCCACACATAAGGAGAGAGTCAACACCATTGCTATGTCGGATCAGCTCCAGCGTCTCCAATATCAGTTTTATCAGATCCCAGGAACCTGCCTGCTCCCAGAGGTGACAGAGAAAAATCAAGGAAGGATCTGTATGGTCACTGACCTGGATGAAACCCTTGTGCATAGCTCCTTTAAGCCAATCAGCAATGCTGACTGCCTAGTGCCTGTAGAGCTTGAGGGGACCATGCACCAGATCCATGTGCTCATGAGGCCTTATATGGATGAGTTCCTGACATGAATGGAGGGAATGTTTAAATGTGTTTCCATCATTGCTCTCTTCTTCCCAGCCTGAACAAGTAGGCAGATCCTGTGACGGGTGAGCTGGACGGGTATGGGATGGTCTGGGGCTGCCTGTCCCATGAGTCATGTTTGTTTCACCAGGGCTGCTATGTCAAGGACGTCAGCCATCTGGGGAGGGACCTGAGGAAAACTCATCCTGGACAACTCGCCTGCTTCTTACATCTTCCACACAGAGAATGCAGTGCCTGTGCAGTCCTGGTTTGATAACATTCCAGACAGCAGCTGCTGCACCTGATATCATTCTTTGAGGAGATGAGTGGAGGAGCAGAGGGTGTCTACACTAGCCTTGGGCAGCAGTGGGCCCTTAACCTTCCCTGCTTCCCAGCAATGGCCATCACAGTAGGGGATTTTCCCACACTGTGCCTCTATGATCAGCCTGAAAGAGTGAAGGCTGGAACACCTACCCACATGGGCCTGGAAAGAGTGAGAAGTGATTGAAAAGAGCTTTAGGACAGCTTAGATTCCCAGTGGGTGAATGCCAGACCAAGGATACCCAGAGCTACCTGCCATCAAGTTGTTGGGTTCCCAAGATGTGGGTGTGAGAGAAAGAAAGAGAGCATGTGTGTTTTGTGATGAACTGTGGCCCCAAGTATATAGTGTTTCAGTAGGGGAGAAGCTGAAGTACAAAGACTCTTCCCAAGCTAGCTTGTCTCCTCTCCTGTCACCCTATGAGCCCCTGAGATCCATAGGGATGAAGAGTATTGAAGGCTCCATTGCAAACCTGGTCTTTCTACAGTGCTACAAGGCCTATGCCAAAGAGAAAGGAAAGGTACGTCTTTGGGTGTTCCAGGCACACATCTTTCTGAAATATTTCTCCAGCCAGTTGTTGCAGACAAAAGACGACATTTCTGGGAAGATGGGGACTTATGTTCAGACGAGTACCCAAACTATCAGGTCTTCTGGTCCAAAGGCTATTTTTACTTACCTCTAGCCAAGTGCCTGGGATGGATCCTTCCTGCATCTCCCCAAGGCTCACCACTTAGCCATAGCCTCAAACCCGTGGGGAAGGAAGGTCTACCCACCCTGCAAGAGGACGAATAACTGATTTTTGTTCATTTGACTCTGTTTTAAAATTCTCTTTAAAAGAAAAAAACAAAAAAAAGAAAAAGAAAGCGTATCTGAAACTTAAAAAAAAAAACAAGGAAAAAAGATGAAAAAAATGACATACATAGGTGAAAAACACATAGATATATGTATAAGCAACAAACACGGCTAATTCACATATAAATTAAATATCACATTGTCATAAAGTGTACCGAGTTAAAAAATTATCATTCAACTCACGATATCAAGCTTTAAAAGCAAAAATACAATTAACTGATCTGAGAAAACATACCCCCCCAAGAAAAGAAACACAACAACACAGAATTGAACATAAGAAGAGAGATTAAATGCATAAAATCCTGAATACAACATAAATATACAATGAAAAATAAGCCCCTTTTTTTTTTTTTTTTTTTGAGACAGAGTCTCACCCTGTCGCCCAGGCTGTAGTGCAGTGGTGCCATCTCGGCTCACTGCAAGCTCCGCCCACTGGGTTCACGCCATTCTCCTGCCTCAGCCTCTCGAGTAGCTGGGAATACAGGCACCCACCACTATGCCCGGCTAATTTTTTCTATATTTAGTAGAGACGGGGTTTCACCGTGGTAGCCAGGATGGTCTTGATCTCCTGACCTCGTGATCCACCCACCTTGGCCTCCCAAAGTGCTGGGATTACAGGCGTGAGCCACCATGCCGGGCTGAAAAATAACCCATTAGATATCTACAGCTTTAAACTGTGTGCAGTCATGAAAAGCAGACATTGGAAGTCATTGGCATTTAATAAATTGCAGAAAAATTATACAGTAAATACATTACAATCATTAATAATAGGCTCTAATGAGAAGAATTTAATAAATAATCATTAAAAAGACAGCAGAATTTTATCTGTTCTCAATATGTTGCTGCTCTTCTTATCAAATACTATAATAAAACTATATGACTATAATATAGCTTTCAGGAGCTAAAAAAAGCCTTATATTTTCAAATAAAAGAACAATATAAATTTTGCAAAATACAATGAGCATTACTGAAGTATAAAGTAAATATTTGGAATTAAAATATATGGTCATTTAGATACAGACTAAAAAAGAATAGAAATCTTAATGATTCCTTTCTGCCTACAGTGAGCTTAAAATTACAACCAAAAATTTTAACAAATATGTAGCACCTACAAGAAATTTTATTAACAGCTTACATAATGTATAAATTTGAGCAATTTATTTTAGAACTTTTGAATCTGAAAATCACCTGCTTGACATTCATTTGAGAAAGTGAAACATAAAGGAGAGTAACATAAGCAAGACGACAGAATGTGAGGTTCTGCATCCACATCCCCCACGACATAATGCAGCTGCCACAGCAAACATAAGTGCATTCATGAAAGCCTTGGAATCCAGTTCAGAGTTTGTGGCACCCAGCTGGAGGCAAAGACCAAGGAAGACATTTTCAGAGGGTGAGCACTTGACCAAGTGGCAAGCTTGCCAATCATGGTCCCGGCTTCAAAACAGAATACTGCCACATCTTACTGTAGACTTGGCTATAACTCATTTGACCTTGGTCCTGCCACTGCAACAATCTGTGAAAAACACAAGAGAATTCATACTCACCTGAGACTTAGGTGACAGGCCTGCAGAACTTGGTTCTCTCTATAGTCACTGAGTCAGGCAAAACACACCTTCTTTCCTTCTCCAGCCATGGTCTGGAAGAAATCTTCACATTGATATGATGAAATGCTAACTAACAATATGAAAAATACTAAAGTATAAATGTCACTAAAATGGTAAATACATACTGAATTTCAGAATACTATAAATTGTTATCATCTTAAACTAGACTATTAAAATACAAGATGTTTTACCTAAGTCTCATGATAACCACTAGGAAAAAAAAACTGCAGTAAAGAAAAAGAGAAAGTAATTAAAGCATACACAAACAACAAAAATTACACATTGGATATGGTGTCTCCTGCTTATAATTCCAACACTTTGGGAGGCCAAGGTGGAAGAATGAAATCTCCTTGGGTGTTGTGGTACGTGTCTGTAGTCCAAGCTACTTGGGTGGCTAAGGTGGGAGGATTATTTGAGCCCAGGAGGTTGAAGCTACAGTGAGCTGTGATATGCCACTGCACTTCAGTCTGAGCAAGAAAGCATAACTTTGTCTCAACAAAAATGAACAATACCACAGGAAAGACAGAACCAGAAAAAAAAGAAGCAAACTTAAAATGGACAGAAAACTACAAATTTACAATAGTAACTCCTTACCTATCACTACCTTACAAATAAAAAGATTAAAGTATCTACTAAACAGATACTGCTGTACACTGAATGTCATCTCCAAAATTTAGGATAAAATTTAATAGCCAACATGTTAGAATTAAGAGGTGGAACCTTTAAAAATTAATTAAGCTCTAAGAACTCTGCCCTCATGAATGGATTAATGTTCTTATTATGGGAATGGGCTAATTATAACAAGAATGGATCTGTTATATATTAAAAAAAAAAGCTCTCTCTCCCTCACATCTTTGTCTATGTTATTATCCAGCAACTAGACCTTCAACATATACCAGTATCATGTTGTTTTGGCTTCCCAGCCTCCAGAATCATAAGTCAAATAAAATTCTATTCTTTATTAATTACCAGTGTGTGATATTCAGTTATAGCAGCCAAAAGAGACTAAAGCAGACAGAGTGGATAAATTAATCTTTTAAACCTCGTAATATGCTGCTTACAAGAGACTCAATTATGAATTAAGAGCATAGGCTAAAAGTGAAAGGATAGAAAATGATATTCCATGCAAACAATAACCAAAGGAGTGCAACGGTAATGCTTAAATTAGACAAAATAGACTTTCTAGCAATGTCTCTCACAAGCATGAAATGAGTTTACCATAGAATAATAATAGAGGTTAATTTCTCAAGAGAATATAGCTTTATATATTTATGCACCCAAAAGGGAGGCTTCTAAATATAAAAAGCAAATATTGCCAGAACTGTAGGGAGAAGTAGAAAGAAACCAAATAATAGAAAACTTTAATGAAATGTATAATAAAGGACATATAGTTAACAGCATTGTAAATTGGCAAGGGAAAGCTGGTCTCATGTGTTGCATTTGAGAATGCAGCAAAGAAAGTGGGAACTGATAATTTTACTGCAAGCCTGAGTTAGGATGAAAAACAGGGTGGTCGATTAGAGGTTCCACTTGCCATACATTAAAAAAACACAGGAGAAAACCAGTCCTCCTCTGGAGTGTTAAAATAATTAAAGAGCAGAAAATTAGTCTAAAGTGGCTCTAGTGCCCTGTGTTCATAGGTAAAAAGCAAAAAACAAACAAAAAAAAATCTAAAACCTAACTCAAATATATTTCCTATAAAACACTATCTTAGCCTGAAGCAAAATGCAGGTTTAACCCATGACAAACATGCAATTAACCTCTGAATATGTAACCAGGACATTTCCATCTGGATAGTTCAAATAAGGCTACCATATAACTGGAACCAATTCTTGAATTTGGGTTGCTTTCTCATGCATCTTATAAAAGCCTTTCCTTTATGCCCCTCTGGTGGACCAGAAATCATGGCTGGGTGCTTTCCATTTCACCAATCACTCTTTGTTCAGATAAACTGATGAACCTTTTAACATAGACTCCCGTTAATTTTTAACAAGAGAGACTGGGGACCCCACGGGCCGCAGCTCCTCCCACGCAAACACCCAGTCGCGGATTTTCCCTGATGACCCACCAGGCCTCCCTGAACAATCTGGGAAATACTCATGGCTGTGGGCGCAGAGCAGGGCGCTGCCCAGGGACAGGACCGGATGGGCCGGACGGGACGTGGGGCCCTCGCTGCTGGCCCAGCGGCCATCTTGCAGCCACAGGGGACTGAGGGCCAAGCTGCGGGAGACTCGGAGCTAACCGTGGGGAGGCCGGTCCTGCCGGTTTCACAGTCTGTTCTCCCCTCTCGGGATGGCGAACCCCGTATACTCACCATTTCCCAGCTTCCAGGATGTCCTGGCACCTTGACTATGCGTCCCCAAGGACCTACAGATCACAGGGCAACAGGGGCTGTGAGAGAGTAGCCCAGGGCTCCCAAGGTGCAGGAGGCGAAAGAGGAGACGGATCCCAAGTTCCTGTGCCAGCACCAGCGAGAGACACAGATCCCGCCAAATGCAGGAAGCCACGCCCTCCTTTCCTCTCCTCTGCCACAGCGCGCCTGATTGGGCGGTTCCCACATCAGTGTCAATGACTGGATAAAACTCCAGGACGCACCCACCCGAGCCTGACTCCTGCCCTTACCCCCACTCCCCCTCAGACTTAGTGCACTTTTGTTAGTTTGTTTTTAAGTTCTGGAATACATGTGCAGAACGTGCAGGTTTGTTACATAGTTTTACATGTGCCATGGTGGTTTGCTGCACCTATCAACCTGCCATCTAGGTTTTAAGCCCCATATGCATTAGGTATTTGTCCTAATTTTCTCCCTCCCCTTGACCTCAACCCCTTAACAGGCCTTAGTGTGTGATCTTTGGCTCCAGGTGTCCATGTGTTCTCATTTTTCAACTCCCACATATGAGTGAGAACATATGGTGTTTGCTTTCCTGTTCCCGTGTTAGTTTGCTGAGGTTAATGGTTCCCAGCTTCATCCACGTCCCTGCAAAGGACATGAACTCATTCTTTTTATGGCTGCATATTATTTCATGGTGTATATGTGCCACATTTTCTTTTTCCAATCTATCAATGATGGGCATTAGGGTTGGTTCCAAGTCTTTGCTATTGCAAACAGTGGTGCAATAGACATATGAGTGCATGTGTCTTTATGCTAGAATGATTTATATTCCTTTGGGTATATACCCAGTAATGAGATTGCTGGATCAAATGGTATTTCTGGTTCTAGATCCTTGAGGAATCACCACACTGTCTTCCATAATGGTTGAACTAATTTACACTCCCTCCAGCAGTGTAAAAGTGTTTCTATTCCTCCACAGCCTCACCAGCATCTGTTGTTTCCTAACTTTTTAATAACTGCCATTCAACATGGTGTGAGAAGGTATCCCATTGTGGTTTTGATTTGCATTTCTCTAGTCTCCAGTGATGATGAGCTTTTCTCTTTTTTGTGTTTGTTGACCACATAAAGGTCCCCTTCTTCTTCTTCTTCTTCTTCTTCTTCTTCTTCTTCTTCTGCTTCTTCTTTTCTTCTTCTTCTTCTTCTTCTTCTTCTTCTTCTTCTTCTTCTTCTTCTTCTTCTTCTTCTTCTTCTTCTTCTCCTTCTCCTTCTCCTTCTTCTTTTTCTATTTATTTTACTTATTATTATTATTTTTAAGATGGAGTCTTGCTCTGTCACCCAGGCTGGAGTGCAGTGGAAGGATCTCGGCTCACTGCAACATCTGCCACCCAGGTTCAAGTGATTCTCCTGCCTTAGCCTCCCCAGAAGCTGGGATTACAGGTCACCCGCCAACACATCCTACTAATTTTTTGTGTTTTTAGTAGAAATGCGGTGTCGCCATGCAGCCCAGGCTGGTCTTGAACACCTGACCTCATGATCCACCTGCCTCCACGGCTGAAAGTGCTGGGATTACAGACTTGATCAACCGCGCCCAGCCAAATATCTTCTTTTGAAAAGAGTCTGTTTATATTCTGTGCCCACTTTTTGATGGTTTTTTTTTGTGTGTGTGTGAATTTGTTTAAGTTCTTTGTAGATTCTGGATATTAGACCTCTGACACATGGATAGAGTGCAAAAATTTTCTTTCACTCTGTAGGTTGCCTGGTCACTCTGGTGATAGCTTCTTTTTCTGTGCAGAAGCTCGTTAGTTTAGTTAGATCTCATTTGTCAATTTTAGCTTTTGTTGTGATTGCTTTTGGTATTTTATTCATGAAGTCTTTGCTCATGCCTATGTCCTGAATGGTATTGCCTAGGTTTTCTTCTAGGGTTTTTATGGTTTGGTGTTTTACATTTAAGACTTTAATCCATCTTAAGATAATGTTTGCATAAGGTGTAAGGAAGGGGTACAATTTCTGTTTTCTGAATGTGGCTAGCCAGTTCTTTCAGCACCATTTGGTAAGTAGGAAATCTTTCCCCATTGATTGTTTTTGTCAGGTTTGTCGGAGATCAGATGGTTGTAGATGTGTGATGTTATTTCTGAGGCCTCTGTTCTGTTCCATTTGTCTATATATCTGTTTTGGTATCAGTACTGTGCTGTTTTGGTTACTGTAGCCTTGTAGTATAGTTTGAAGTCGGGTAGCAGGATGCCTCAAGCTTTGTTGTTTTTGCTTAGGATTGTTTTGGGTTGACA
The DNA here is from genome assembly GCF_000001405.40 of Homo sapiens. Lineage (NCBI taxonomy): Eukaryota > Metazoa > Chordata > Mammalia > Primates > Hominidae > Homo > Homo sapiens. The sequence goes on from NW_021160026.1 coordinate 175,916, forward strand.
GGCAAACAGGCTCCTATATTTGGGGTCACGTGCCCAGAGTATCACAGCTAATTCAGACGTGAGCTGAGACTTGAAATGCACGTGCTCTTTCCCTTACCTGGGTCTGTTGTATAATGCATCTTAGCAGCTATGTAACAGTACGAATTAGAATATTTAGACATCTTTTTAGCAACTTTTTAACCTGCATTTTTGTAACGCGGTAAAGACCTTCATCCCATCCCTGAGCCCCTCTCTCACAACACTGCACCCCACTGCTGACCACACTGTTGTGTGACCATTAGGAATCAGGGGGGCAGCGGGGGCTGGAAATAAATAAGAAAGGATTATGTTTCCCAAATTTGCTCACCTTAGAAAGTCTCCTCAACCATTCTGTGTGAGGTGATTTTTCCAAGGTAATTGTGCCCTGACTGCGCTGGATGTCAGTGTGTCTTGTCTTTTTGAAAATCACTGGATTACTCTCATGAACGGGGTATTTCTCTTTCTATTTGAAAATGGTCAACTGTCCTCTGCAGGTGTCCTGACTTGCTAGTTTAGACCCTGAAGGTAGCGGTGAGAAAATATTTGGGCCACATCAGAATACCTATTCTCAGCTGGAGGATATATAGAAATTTCTTAATAATATCTAACCATTTTCTCAATAACCATTATATTTAACATTGATAGCTTGGAGGGCAGGGAAGGACACAGATGACACAATCTTCAAAGTTTAATTTAGTTATAAGGTTTTTTTTTTTGTTCTTGCTTAGTTTTGCTTAGTTTTTGGATACAAGGTCTTGCTCTGGTGCCCAGGCTGGAGGGCAGTGGCATAATGATAACTCATAATTTGGTTGTAACGGTTCTTTAAAATATATTTTTGCTGAGAATGCTAGCTCATACCTGTAATCTAAACACTTTGGGTGGCCAAGGTGGGATGATCGCTTGATCCCAGGAGTTCAAGACGAGTCTGAGCAACATAAGTAGGCTCAGTCTCTAGAAAAATATTTAAAAATTGTCTGGGTGTAGCTTTGCATGCCTGTAGTCCCAGCTACTTGAGAGGTTGATTTGAAAGCATCACTGGAGCCTAAGAATTTGAAGATGCAGTGACCCATGATTCAGCCACTGCATTGACAGAGTGAGATATGTGTGTGTCTGTCTGTGTGTGTGTATAAAGAATTTGTATGTGAAAAAAATTCAAGCACAGGAGAAAAGTGAAAGCCCACGGTGGGGGATGTGGAGAAAGGTCACTGTGGCTCCAGCAACTCAGTGAGACTTGGTTTTCCATCTTGAAGAATTGCCCATCCACACTGACACCATAGCCTAACATATGCCAGTTCTCACACTACACCTGCTGGGATACCAGTATGTAGCCTTTTGAAAAAAATAAAATCTTTCACCTAAGAGAAGGACAAGAGAAAACGAGGGTTTCGCATCTAAAGCCTTCATTTTCTTTATGAATCAACAGCCACTTGTCATTTGAATTGTCCAGAGGCGACTGACAGCACCAATACACTTAATGAATCAACCAGGAAAAATGGGCCTCTCAGGTGAGGAGGAGGCACAATGGTCACAAAACCCAATCCGTTCTCAGCTTTGCATGGTGCTCGCATCTCAAGAAGTGGTGTTAGCCATGTGAACCGTGTTCACTGGACAAGGCCAGAGGAAAGAATATTTAGTACAACACAACTATGGGGCTGCAAATCAAACTGGTAGTGAGAGCATGCATGAGGCTTCAGTGGCCGAGACACTGGTGGCTACCCTTCGGTGTCACTTAAACCTTTGAGGTGAAGGACATCTCTTTTCCCAACTGGCTCAGAGAAACTAATCAACATTAAAATTGAGATTTGTTTTTCTTTTCAAAATTTCTAAGACATAGAGGACTCTCTAACACTCCAAAAGAGATTCAGCTATACATGCAGCTGAGGACCTGCCTGCTCTGTAGAGGGATGGCAGAGTAGCAGCCACCAGCTTTAGTAGCTTTAAGCTCCTCCTCTCATAGGGACAGGCCACCCCCACACAACCCCCCTAACTTCATAGGCTCTAGCTGTCAGGTGCACCTGGGGGACTGTCTTCCTCCCATCTCATTAGCTCTCGAAGACAGTCCAGCTCAATCTAAAACCTACCTTAGGATGGCGAGTTGTAGGCTCTCCTCCATTCTCCCAGTGTAGTGTGACTTCTAGAGAGTGCTTCTCCATCCTCTTACCTCAGATGATGTGAAAAGAGCCGTTTCCCGGGCAGTTAGATGTTCAGTGACATAACAGGCCCAGCATGCGCAGGGCCTGGCCCCACAGCCTGGCACCTCTCCCCTACCTGGCCTTCACGCTGGACTTTTCTCTTCTGCCACAAATATCAGGTGATGATCACCTCTGCCACACTCTCATGAGCTTGGTAAGTAGCAGGGGTGTAAACCTCAACAGATTTCCTGTGACTCTACCCTCTTACCTCCCACTCAAGTGACATTATAAGCATAATTTTATATTTGATCTAATTTATGCATAACCTTTTTATAACATTTCTGACAACAGCCCTCAGAACCACATGAGTCTGGGTTACAGAACACACGGGCGAGGCTCGGGTAGCAGGTTTCACTTACTTTATTCCAATGTGAAATGAAGATTGATGATTTAAAAACAAGACAAAGTTGTTTATCAGCTGTGGGGTGGCTACACTTGCTAGCTCATGCTCACTTCCTTTGAAACAAGGTATCTGGACAGACCATATTCATAAGTAGGTCTTCGCAAAACCCCAGACAGAAGTTCCAGTCAGACACAGCTCCCTCAGGCTCACAGGGTGGCAACCGCCTCCATGTTAGGCTCTGACAGCAGGCAAGGAAAGGAGCACAGGCAGCAGGGGACAGGGAGGGTCCGGGACTGTAGGGACCCCAAATGCCCCAGAGCTATTCTCTGTAGAAGGGCACACGCAGGTCTCACTGTGTCAGTGCAGTGGCTGAATCATGGGTCACTGCAGCCTCAATCTCTTAGGCTCCAGTGATGCTTTCACCTCAGCCTCTCAAGTAGCTGTATGGCAAAAAGCCTCCTACTTTTTACTTAAAACCTGGACTTTAAGCCAGGTTGGGCCTGGGAATAGTGGCAGCAAAAGCAGCAGCCAAATGTATACACTTCAGATGTCTACACTCATGGGCACAGGCATATTCCACACTTGCTGGAGCAGGAGAGGCCTGAGAGGCACCTGTTTCCCAGCTACTAACTGATGTCCACACACCCCATTCACGTGTCTTCATTTAGGTCTCTGCATCGTATATTTGCTCAGCCAGTGCAAACACATCTTCTGGGGGGCAACATTAATTGCAGCACCTGCCCCACTTGTTCTGGGAGGGAGTCAAGAGGAATCTGGTCAGCTCCTAATCCCCCAGGACAAAGGTGATGCCCTCTTTTCAGGACTTACATCCAGCAGCGTCATCTCCGGATGGGTTTTTCAAACACAAGCAGCATGAGGTAGCAAGCATGGTGTGACAGGCTCAGGGCCATGGGCAGCCGGCTGCTGGAGAAGCAGCACAGGGCAGGCACATCTGTGGGTGGCACCATGACAAGCCAAGACAGCCACAGCCCCTAATCCCAACAGCTCCAGCCCAGATGGCATTCAAATCTTCCCGGATAGTATTGGGGTGCCCGATGCCCATCACTCGCCCTCTAATTAGCACGGCCTTGTTGGTTACTCAGGGACTAAGGAGAGGGGGTGGGGGATGTAGATCCAGGGTGGGCACTGCCTCACAGCCAGAGTCCACCTGACTGCAGGCCAGCAAGCAAGCACAAGAAGCTCAGCTCTAGTCACATCTGGCTGTACTTTATGTGTATACATTACACAAAGGTAGCAAACAGAGGTCAACAATAGCTGTTGTGACATGAAAGTCTATGCCCCATTAAGACCTTAAAATGCTATTGTCTTAAGCTATCTTTATTCTAATAAAATTTATACAAATAAACACATACAAGCTGAACTACTATAAAGGAAATATTAGGATTTTTTAAACCCATAAACAGACATGAAAACAGTCACTGTTTGATTGCAGAGAAAGTGAGCTTCTAAAGCACCTGACCACAAAACAGCCTCACCAAACCCCAGGCAGGCCAGGCAGTCTGAACACTACAAGGCCACGTGATGGTCACAGAGGATGACAGCTCCCGTGAGTATTGCAAGGCACTGTGTCAGCTTCTCACTCACAGTCTCAGAATACCCTGTGAGGGGAGGCCCCGTCTCACTAGAGCACAGGAGGTTCCTGAGCTCTTCCCAGAAAATGGTCTTCAAACGATGGAGCAGAGGGAAGCCCAGACAGAACAAGTGAGTCCCTAGGGTCTCCTTAACCTCCCTCAGCTCCTCCACATGGGTCCCTGAGGGAAAGTGAGCAGCCTCCTAACCCCCTTGATAGGGTTCCAGTCCTGCAGGTCTGGACTCTCTCATTTTATGCTACCATAGGGGGTGACAATGCAACCCCAGGCCCCTTATTTGCCATCCCTCAATGCCAGGCCAGGCCCAGAGCCCTTTGCTAACACAGCCCAGGGGATGCTCAAGGCCCACCTCGGCACAGTCACCTGTAGTGTACTGAGATGAGCAAGGAGGTGCAAGTAGACACAAATCCCCATGGGCTTGGCCTCAGCCATGTTCCACAGGCTCAGGGCCTCGCAGATGAGCTCACAGCCCTCCTTCAGGAAGCCTGCAGATCACACCCTCAGGGAGCAGTGCTCAGATGAGCAGGCAGGCCCCACATCCCCCACCCCATGACGCTCTGTTCCACTTTGCAGGCTTCTGCATTGGCCAGTCCCCACTGCTTTCTGGTGAGATGTCCGAGTTGAAGTGAGTGTTGAATGCCACACAGCTGATGGGGCTCACTGCCTTGCACATGTTGTAAATCACCTCCTGGCTTCAAGGGTCAGCTGTGGAGACACAGCTTGATGGGAGGTAGGCCCACTCCACCATCAGTGGTGCTGGGTTGCCCTGATCTGCACCTTCCAGATACTTGCTAAGATATCTGCATGCTTCTCTAAGGGACTGGGTCACGAGACACCCCTGGCAAGGACCAGCTGGCAGAACAGGCTGGACACTCTCCCTCAGCCTCTCCAGCAGCCCCACCTGTGCTGTCATCTGTGCTGATGATCTCCGTGGTAAGATTATGGGAAACTTTTACAGCAAGTTTTCCTTTCTCACTTCCCTATCTTAATAACAGCACTGATAACTTTTAAGCCCTAGCAAGCTGAAACTGCAAGACACATGATCTTCTGCCTTAGAAGGGCCATGTTTGGGCAGTGGGTGCCCAGGTGAGAGCCCCATGGTTGTTAGTGGCAGCCGGGAGCTGGATGGGCCTGCCCCATAGCCTAGTGAAAAGTGGGACCCTCTCCTTCCAGAGCATGGAAGTCTCAGAGGCTGGAAAAAGGTGCCTGAGTGGCCTGCCAAGAAGCAGAAGGCTAGAAGGCCTGGAAAGAACCCCAACAGCCTTCAAGCTGCCTGAGAGGGCTGGGCTCATTCCAGCTTTCTTTGCTTTCATCCTGTTAGCAAGAAAACCTGCTCACAGATGGCAGGCGGGCCTGAGGCTGCCATTCCCTCATCAGGGGCTATAGGCACCTTTAATGTGGCTCTTTCTTGAAGCAGCTGCTCAGGCCGGTTCTCGAAGAGCAGTTCCCTCATTATCCACAGGTCCTTCTTCCAGCCCCGTGTCTGCAGAGGGACTAGGGAGGGAGACAAGGGCTCAGCCTGTGCCCCACAACCTGCTTTGAGACATCTCTTTTGTTACTTCCTCACAGACAGCCTGAAACTTCCAAATGAACAGACCAGAATGGAGCCTCCAGGAAAGTGTACAGAATTCTGTCTAGTACCCAGAAGGAAGGGGGTTCCCAGTGAAGGCAGGGCCAGGCTGCATGCACCTCTTCAAAAATATTCTCCTCATAGTCCACCCTCAAGGTGTACATCCTCTGTGTGCTTGCAGTCCATGGCAGCCTCTGCCTTGGGAACCATCCAGCTGCACACCTGCAATATGGTGGTGACCCTCTTGAATGGATGGTTCTGGGCCCCATTGCAGGCAGCAGATAGGGAGATGCTCAGCCCATCAAGCCCAGAGCCCTGCCACAGGCTTCTGTGAGGCCTCCACCTGCTCTGGGTTCTTGCCCTGAGAGGCTGCCCTGAAGTCAAACACAAGCAGGTGGGACTCTCTTCCACAGCTGCTCTCTCTCCCACTGACAGCTCCCTAGAGGGTAACTCAGACAGAGAAGATAGAATTCTCAGGCAGAAGGACAGGAGTTTCGGCTGCCGATTCATTCCATACCCCCACATGACATGACACAAGGCAGGGGCTGTGGGACAAAGGCATTGCCTTTCCTTCTGGCATGAGGAATGCCTTAGGAAGCAGGTCTGGTGGGGCTAGGGTTGAGCGATAGGCTTCAGGCCACAAGGAGTGGACGGACACTGAGCAAGTATCCTGCTTATCTGTCCACAGATCCAGAACAAGTGGCATCCCAGGAGCCTGGGAGGGGCTGGCAGAGACTTACTGTGTCCAGCAAAAGCCCCATGTGGATGCGGTAATGCTGCCTGCTGGTCCTTGGCTGTAATTACAAACAGGTACATGAGGTCCCCATGGATCTTGCAGCTCTCAGGGAGTGGGTTCCAGCTGCTCATGGTAGGCACTTTTAGTCACTGAACGTGCTTCAGGAATGGCCAAGCTTGATTAAGCCAGGCGTCTTGCTGTGAGACCCTCCACCCAACTGAGGACCCTCTTCCTTGTCCCCCCTGACAGTTTACCTTCCAGTTCTGGTTCTGGAGACACGATGGCCCTTCTTGGGCCCCTGGGAGAATGTGCTCAGATGACACACAGTCGACAGGGCCCATTTCCAAGCCATTCTTCCATTTCCCACTGTTTGAGGGGCTGAGGCCGGTGATCAGCACAGGGCCACCCAGGGCCAGCTGTCTGCACCTAAACGTCATGTTGGTCTGGATGTCTCAGAGCCAGAACTCTCCAGGTAAGATGGCCTGGTCCTCAGCACCTGGCCTCCATGCTCCTTTTTCCTCTGTTCAATCCTGGCCCCAATGCCTCCCGCAACTCTCAGGTCACCATTGGAGAAGATGCTCAGGAAGAACAAGGAGCTGCAGTCAACCCTGCTGAAGGTGGCATATGGGTCCAGGCTCTTGAGCTGGTCTTTGACATGGTACATGTGGATGCAGGCTTTGAGCAGTGTGAGTAGCTCTTTCCGGAAGGAGGGGAAAACGGTGTTACCAGGGTCCTACACCCTAGAACGACCCATCTAGCACAGAAAACAGTTTGCAACGTGCTATCATGTGTGATTTTAATTTTGGGCTTTAGGCTTTCATTTCCAAATTCCACAATAAACACATAAGGTGGGGTTCTGATTTCAACACACACACACACACACACACACAAGCACACACACACATTCTCTCTCTCTCCCTCTCTCTTAGAATCTTCCAGTGCATTCACACTGAAAGCCGAAGTCCTCCCAGAATCTTGTGAGAACCTAAATGATCTGAATAGTTTGTCATTGCTTTTGGGGATCTGGGAAAATCTCTGCACATTTCTGGAGACCGCTGTTATGCCATTTTTAATAAATCTGTTCTGCTTCAATTCAGAAGTGTGTGAGGGGAGTTGTGGAGGAATTGGCATTTGGGTTAGAAATTATAGGAACAACAGAGACAGATGACACCTGTTTTCTGCTTCATAATGTCAAGTTTTATGAAAGCTAAAACCTAATTCTACAAAAAAATTAGACTGAAAAACTTTATAGGCAAAAATTATCTTATTAAATAGGAAAATCTAATTATTTTATTTTAAAATTTTCTTTTCCTTAGTAGGACCTAATCATAGAAATTTAAACACTGTATGCCAACAGCCTCTACTGTAGGATGGTTTATTGTAAGTACTCATTTTACAGATTTCTTACAAAAACTTTTTCCGTAAGGGAAATTAGAATATTGTTCAACATATATTGAATTCACAATTATTACCTTATTTCTCACTTATTATTTTATGATTCTGTTTTCTTTAATATGAAGATTACTATGACTGTGTTTTCACTTTCTGAATTATCATGTGTCACATTTTTCTGTAATTTCAGTTTGAGAAGTTGTAAAACAGCATGCCCAAATGTATATGTTATGTATCAATTATATAATTAATTATTAAAATATTTGGCTTGTATGTTTAATTGACTCTAGGCACAATGTTACTATTAACATTTTCTTCCAGTTTTCCCAACTTTTATTTGACTAATAGTACAATTTATTTCCAGTTTTTATTTTATCTGTCAATGTTTTATACTGTATTTACAATATTTATATTGTCACCATATGTAAAAATGTAAGACCTTTCTATTAAAGGCTAGATTACAGCCTTACCCTTTTGTGTAAGGAAAGCAGCAATGCATCAGTAGCATAATTTAAAACTTTCTCTAGTATTACTTAAATTTTTATTTCTTAAAACTTTCTCATCACATCTCTTTCTAATAATTATAATATGGTTTCTTTGAAATGTTGTTGCCCTAATTGTATCCAAATAATTCAAAATTTATACTTTTTACGGATTCAAAGGAAGAGTTGAAAATTGTAGTTACCTAGGATTCTTTTTCAGTTGGACACTATGTTTATTCAGGATTTTATAGATCAAAGTTTCTCTTAATTATGTTTTAGAATTTATGTTTCTGTATTTTTTAGAGTAGGCTGTCTCACAGCAGTTAATTGTGTTTTTACTTTCTACCTATTTATTATGATTTTGAATTACATTATTCAAGTAAGAATTCGGGGAAGGTTTCTTTTAAGTTTGTTTTGCAATTTTGCATTTCTGTGTTTCATGTTTTAGGGTAGGGCACCTTACATCAGTTTATTGTTTTTAGTTTGAATTTATATAATATAATTTTCTATGACAATATTCAAATCTGTACACCTTAAGACAGTGTGAGGCAAAAAATATGAACCATCCCTATGGTCTTTTGTTAATATAATGATTTAATTGTTTGTTTGCTTGTATAAATATTGCCCCTATTTTGTTTATGACTTGTGCATTTTCTTCTTGTTTGATGGCCAATAATTGATTCTGTCTAAGTGAGTAATCATGGAAATTGTCTTAATTTCAACATCTATTGTTTATATTATCCTAGTGTGAAAGAAAGACTTATGCGATTTGAAGATAATTTTTCAAAAACTTTGTAACTCTCTCTCTTCGGGTGTCTTTACTTATTTATTTATTTTTTGACAGACTCTCACCCTGTCGCCAAAGTGCAGTGGCACAATCTTGGCTCACTGCAACCTCCACCTCCCAGGTTAAAGCAATTCTCCAGCTGCTGCCTCTTGAGTAGCTGGCATTAAAAGTGTGCACCACCACGCCTGGTTAATTTTTGTGTTTTTCATAGAGCTGGGGTTTCACCATGTTGGCCAGGCTGGTCTTGAACTCATGGCCTCAAGTAATCTGCATGCCTCAGCCTCCCAGAGTGCTGAGATTACAGGCATGAGCCATCTCTCTTGGCCATTGGGTGTCATTTTTAATTTCGATTGTGGTAAAAATACATAACATAAAATTTAGAATCTTTAACATTTTTTCTTATACAGTTCAGTCATGTTAATGTATTTACATTGCTTTGCAACATATTTGAAAACTTTTTTCTTTTGCAAAACTGAAACTCAGTACACATGAAATGACAACTACCCATTTTCCTTACCACCTGGCTCATGATAAAAATCATTCTATTTTCTGGTTCTAAGTTTCAATACTTTAGATATTACATATAAGTAGAATCATAGAGTATCTGTTTTATTGTGACTAATTTTACTTAGCATCATGTTCTCAAGATTTCTCTTTATTGTGGATGCTACAAGATTTTCTGCCTTTAAAAGCTGAGTAATATTCCATTACTTTTGTATTACAAATTATATTTATTTATTCATTCTATGAGGAAAGTTTGTGTTGCTTTCACCTATTGGCCTTTGTGAATAATGCTGCAACGAATATGGGTATGCAAATAACTATTTGCTCATATGTGCGAGGTTTACGTCTGTGCTACCTTCTGTTTTATTGGAAAAATTGTCTGTCTTTATGCTAGAAACAAACTGTTTTCATTGCTGTTGCTTTGTAATGTGCTTTGAAATCAGAAAAGTTGAGGCCGCTAACATTGTTTTTTTTTTAAACATTTTTGGGCTCTTTATGGTCGCTTGACATTCCACATAATTTGTTGGTTCCTTTTTCTATTTCAAAAAAATTGCTAATTTAAAAGGGATTGCATTGAATCTGTAACTCGCTTTAGGCATCATGAGCATTCTTCATAATATCAAGTCTTACAACCCTTAAACATGAGCATGCTCAAAAGTGAGTTGTTTAATTTCCATATATATGTTGCTATTTTTGTTTTCTTCTGTTATTCATTTCTAGTTTTATTCCATTTTGATCAGAAATAATAGTCACTGAAAGGCTAAACCACTCTGGGAAGTGACCCCCATTATAGAACATTACAAAGATATGTGAGGGCACCACTTCTGCCCTGATGGGCTAGAGGGATGTGTTCTCTGAGATGACACATTGCACACAAATGCAGGGAACAGTATAACCCCCTTTTCGTGTAAACTCTTCCCTATTTTTCTAGAGTATTAATGCTAGTGGTGGCTTTGAAGTCTTGGGGAAGGTCTGGCAGTGCCGTGAAGCTGCCTGCTACAGGTGATACCAGGGGGAATAATTAAAACCATACCAACTGTAGTAACATGAATAAATACAGCCTAGTGTAAAGTAAAAACAACACAAAGGTCTTCTCTGATATTTCTACAAGAATGTAAAAAGGGACTTTACACTTAACCAAGTTGCCTTTGGGACTAGTTAAGGCTAGATTTTTGGGAGGCAGATCTTTGGGTCACTCATGGAAATCCCCTAAGAGAAAGCGCAGAGAAATTCCATATTTGGGTCTGGATCCTGGGCCCATCCTGGTTTTGTCAGACCCCTGTCTGTAGAGATCCCCATGTGCCTGCTCTCACCATAACTCACTGTATGCCATGCTTAGGGGTGTGGTGAACCTGCCAGTTGTCCAAGGAGTTGGGGGACTTGAACCCATCAAATACCTGCTCAATGATTTTAATGAAACTCTACAAAGAGTGTTCCCAGCAGCGAAGCAGAAAAAAAAAAAGAAAAAAGAAAAAAAATTAATTATCTCCTTTGTTTTTACCACCAGGTAACATCTCCATTAGAAATTCTGTTTCCTAGATCAGGAACATAGGAGTATCTGCATAGACCCCCAGCCAATGAGGAAACCCGAGGACAGCTTAAGGCCTTGGGATTCACATCTGAGTAGACACACTTGGTCCACAATGCTCAACTTTTTATTCCACCAGCCATGACCTGGGTATGAACATGACATACCCGCCAGGGTTCCAATGCCTTACAGCCTGCCCCTGTGAGAAAGAGCCCCCTCCTTTCCTGCTCCCCCTGCAACACATGGTAATGGTAGACAGGGTCGGATTGCCCAGATTAGATGACACGGGTGGCCTGGCATGGACGGACCTGACCTAGGCTTCACTGTGTTACCTGTGTTTGCCTCTTGTTGAATGGCCAGTGGTATCAAGGATGTAGGCTGAGCCAATATGTATATGGTCAGAAAAGGCTCTCACTTTGAACCTTTCTCAGGCAACAGCTTAGGAATATAGCACACAATGAGAACACAGTGCTCTCTCAAGCATCTCCCATGAAATTAGCTAGATAGAGGGCTGTCTCTAGAATGTGGGTTTCTGGTTCCAAAGTTCTAAATTCTGTTAGGTTCTGTCACAAGGGAAGTCTGTTAACTTCTTCAAGGTTTTATCCCCTGAGCCCTTTTCCTCCATAAATCTATGCAAAGTCCCTGCTGGGCTGCTGATTGCTCACCCTCCTCTCCCATGTCAACTCTTTTCCTGTAAACAGTTATGCAAACACAATTATGCCTCTTACTCCCCATAAAGATCTAAATACAGCCAGGGCCCCAGGTTTGAGAGAAGAGAGTTGGATTAAAATCTTCTTTTCCTTTTCATTTCTGTGACCATATGAAAATGACTGTGCGCTTCAGTTCTCCCCAGCCCTGAAGTATGCATAATGGGATTAGGCTAGCATCAACTTCCAGAAAGAGTCATTGGAGATATATGAGATAGAATGAATCAAAATCAGTGGGATGTAGTTGCTCTTGCTTGTAATCTTAGCAGATTGGTAGACCAAAGACGGGTGGAACACTTAAGGCCAGGGGTTTGAAACCAGCCATGGCCAGCATGGCAAAAACCCTTCTCCACTGAAAATGCAAAAATTAGCCAGATGTGTTGATGCTTGCCTGTAATCCCAGCCACTCAGGAGGCTGAGGTGTAAGAATCACCTGAGCCAAGGAAGCAGAGATTACATTGAGCCTTGATCATGCCTCTGCACTCCAGCCTGGGTGACAGAGCGAGACTGTGTCTCAAAAAAAATATATACTATGTATATATAATTTATATTTATATATTATATATAATATATAAACTTATACATATACACCTTTATGTATAAAAGATATATATTTCATATATCTGTATACATAAAAGATATATATTTTATATATATGGCCTTATTTTTCCATTCTACAGCAGAAGAGGTTGAAATCAAAAGAAAATCAGATACTGTATTCTGGCATTAAATATTCCAGTGCTGTGCATTATATTTGGAATCACATGTATATGCCTCATCTCAGCCTATGTGGTGGGCGCCCCCAACAAAGTCTCACAACAACACTAAGTTGTGAGTGACTCTGTTATTTTTAAAACGCAGCTCACCTCTCAGTGCCTCAGAAGCCGGTACTTATAACACCGGGTTTCCAACAAAGGCATTGGATTCCAGCTGAAGCCTCTTTCCCTGTGCTTACTTAAAGGTAGTAATATTCTCAGAAAGGTTTAAGAGGTGGCTTCTTGTTTAGCAGGGAATTGCTGAAAGGAAAAATGTATGGAAAGTCACTGGGCATGAACAGCCATCTTTTCTTGCTACACACAGGTCATGTGCAAATTTGGGGACAGTTAGTACAAAACATGTGATGGAAATTTGGGCTCTGACATCAGTGAGCTTATTTCACACAGACTCCAGTTGACCATATTGGTTCCGACCAATTTTAGCCACTTTTTAGAAGTCTCATAAGTGGAATAAATTTCATGCTTTCAACAAGTTCTATCTTTTCTTATCTGTCATTCTGCAAACTGAAGAATTTCTGCTAGTCATTGGTTGAACTCTTTGGGGACCTGGTTCTAGTTTCTGTCAAAGAGAAAACAACAAATGTGATAGGTTATCACTTCTGACTTAGTTCAGACTTCTATACCAAAAAACATAGACTAGGCAACTTATAAACAAAAGACTTTAGTTCTGGAGGCTAGAAATTTGAGATTGGCTTCCAGCATGGTTGGGGTCTGGTAAGGACTCTCTTCTGAGTTTCAAACTCCAGACTTCAGGTTGTATTCTCATTTAGCAGAGAGAGGGACAGACAGCTTTCTGCGGTTTCTTTTACAAAGCCAGTAATCTCTATCACGAGGGCCTCATGCTTAGGACTTAATTACCTCTGACCTGCTAAGGCCATTACACTGGGAATTAATGTTCTGGAATGTGAATATGGTGGGGAATCACATAGTCTACTGCAACTTCCAAAGTTATATTTCTAAAATAGCTATTATTTTCCTCCCTCTTGCTCTGTCCTGTGTTTCATCTCTCAATCTCTCTGTCTCCCTTTCTCTTTTTCTGTGCATATGTCTGTCTATCTCTTTCATTTTCCATCTCTCTATTGTATTCTTCAAGATGAGGAAGCGATCTCCAGTGTCCTAAGATGCTCTAGGCACAGACCCACATGATAGAGAACTGAGGAACTGCCCAGGCCAATCAACAGGAAGAAACTGGGGTTCTCAGTTCACATTGAATCTTGCCAATTTCCATGAGGCAGATTGGAGGCTGATCTCTCCCCAAATCCAGCTTCAGTTGAAATCACAGCCCCAGCCTCATAAGGGACCTTGAGGCAGAGGCACCCAACTAAGCTATATCGAGATTCTGGTTCACAAAAATTGTGAGATAGTATTTGTTGTCAAAATGTGCTAAAATTCAGGGCAATGTTGTCAGAGATGGGCAAATGACTAACCTCCTCTTTCAGACCCCAGGATACACCCTCCCCTCTTTTCCTTTCTTTCTCAGGCTGCCTACAGCCACACTTGTCCCTTTATAACCTCCTCTGCTAAACTGACTTGTGCCTCTGAGTCTTTTCACAAAGAGTGGCTTTTCCCTGACACACTTTCCACACCTGCGCAGTTGTCATTCTGGTCACAACATAATGTCAGCTCAGTGAGGTATTCATGTCCCCTGCAGGCAACCTCTCCCCAGCCCTCCCTCCAAACATTCTACTTTATTTCCATTATAAAATGCTCTTTTCTTTCGCATGTACTTGCTTTAGTGTTTTTGTCCTGCAGTCCTCGGGCTGTGGGCTCCCCGCGGGGATGCAGGGATAACATAATCGTTTTTGGTACCACATGGTGAACCTACCAAGGTAGCTGCCACAGGGTGAGTGCTAGGGGAAGAGCCGCTGAGTAAAATAACATGGAAAATCACAAAGTCCTTCCTGCTTTCGGTCACCCAATAATGTGGAGATCAAGAATGATAACAGGAGCTGCAGGCCCTCAGCCTGTCTCTCCCCCGGCTCCAGCTACTCCAGTAAAGTCCAGCGGGCACAAGAAACACGTGGTCTGCCGCCACCTAGAGACCTCCGCTAGCACTGTAGTCCCAGGCAGAAGCATCACAAAACAGGCACCTGCACTGGGGAATTCTCAAGGCAGTGGCTCTTCAGGGACCCCTGGGAAAAGGAGCAGTATCTGAAGGCTCCAAGGGCCATAAAAGTGACCTCGGAAGCCTCCCTTGATTCCTATTTTCCTCAGCCTCGTTGGGTGTGCTGTGCACTCATTAAACATTTTAACAGCATTCGGCGACATTATTTTCTTCCACTTCCGAATGAGGACCTCAAGGACAGCCCAAAAAACTAGTATTTTTTTCTGGGCCCCACACTCCAGAGCCCAGTGCATTGTCACATTCTGCTTTATTCCAAGTCCTCATCCGCCCAAGTCTCTAGGCCTCTCTCTTCTCTGAAGGACCTCTAGAAACTGAAAAGCCTCTTCCCAGAGTCTCAAAGCACAGTGATTTACCAATGAAAAGCCAAGGGCGGCAGACACCTATGAGTATCTAGAATCCTTGGTATTATTCCTTCTCAGTACCCCTATTTATGAGGGAGAAAACAAAGGCTTTTTTTCCCGTAGCCTGTCTTTATATCACACGGGGTGGTGGGTGGAGGGCATAGCTCATTTTAGTTCCAGGTGCCCACAGAAGTGGGAGTCACAACCCCAGTCCTGTCCTCTTGAAACAGCTGGGAAAGTCCCCAGGCTTGGAAGAACCCAGGGAACCTGGAGGATCCTTCATCGCATGCTGTCAGCTCCTGGTCATGTAGCTGGGGGAGTGGATGCCTCTGCCTCATGGCAAAGCTGCATCTACTGTTTCTTCCCCTTTTGTCACTTCTTTGGTTTCCTCTTCCCTAACCTCACTTTAGAATCTCCACTTTAGATCTCCACTTTAGAAGCCTGTGTGTGTGTGATGTGTTTGTGTGTGCATGCCTGCATGCCTATGTGACAACATTGAAGAGTAGAAAGCCCAGGTAGAAAGTAGAGCACAGGGTTTTCCAGGACTCATGGGCTCTCATTTCCAAAGCAAACCTGATGGGTGGGGTGCATGCAAGGCCTAGGAAGCTGGATCCCTCCCTAATACTCTGTGCTCTGCCCAATTTCTGGGATCTGGACCAGTCTTTGCCTTTTTGGGAGGTCTCAGTCTTCCTGTTGTAAAATGAAGAGTTGGCTACAAAACTGTATGAGCACATGCTCAGTGAAGACAGGGTGTCATGCTCAATACCACAGAGAATATTGGGATGGGGAAAGTTTGGGCAGACTTAGGTGTCCATGCGTGCTCAGGCCTCTGAACAGGGCCAGTGCAGGCAAACATAAAGCACGGCACAGCCAGGTTTTCTTTCCAGGGCTACAGGATGAAACAGTGCACCACAAGATCTGCTCTTGAGGTCGGTCCCGCAAGATTTTCCCACCTTCAACCAGCAACTGTTTGATGAATTTCATGTCCTGTGAAGCCCATATCCACCCCCATTACAGTGAGGGGCACAGGGCACTAGACCTGTAAAATAATGTCTTTTGCCTTTTTTTCTTTTCTTTTCTTTTTCTTTTTTTTTTTTAACTGAGTGGATGTTTCTTCTTTCTCCTTTTCTGTTTTGTTTGTTTTTTTAACTAATTTTTAAGAGGTCTTTACAGGTCAGTTGTGGTGCCTCGCACCTGTAATTTCAACACTTTGGGAGGATGAGGCAGGTGGATTATTTGAGGTCAGGAGTTCAAAACCAGCCTGGCGAACCTGGTGAAAATCCGTCTCTACTAAACTTACAAAAAAATTAGCGGGGAATGGTGGCTCAAGCCTGTAGCCCCAGCTACTCAGGAGGCTGAGACAGAAGAATTGCTGAAACTTGGGAGGCGGAGGTTGCAGTGAGCCGAGATTGCACGACTGCACTCCAAACTGGGTGACAGAGTGAGTCTCTGTAAAAAAAAAAAAAAAGAGAGAGAGAGAGAGAGGGAGAGAGAGAGTGCTCTTCATGGAAACATGAGCCCCTTTGTAATTTCATGTGTTGAAAATATTTATGCCAATTTTGCAATTTCTTTTCTTATTGTGGTGTTCTCTTTAAGTTTGGTTTAGATGTTATTAGTGTTTCTCCCCAAATTGATTTATTGATTTCCATTTTCACAATACAATATTTTGGCAGAAATCTTGTGGAAACTGTCTAATCAGTTTAAAAATTTAAATACATATTAAAAAATCAAAGAACTGTAAAAACTGTCCTGAAGAATGACAAAGTTTGTGAGCTTCCAATGCCATATATTCAGACTTAGATTAAAGCTATAGTAATAAAAGCTATCTATGGTAGTAATGCAAAAATAGGCACAAAGAAAACTAGAAAAACTCGAGAGTCCAACTCAGACTCACACATTTAGACATTTTGTATATTACAAAACAGGCACAGAAGAGCAGTGGAGAGAAGACAGCATCTCGGTAATTAGCCTTGGGTCATCTGGTTATTTATGTGAGAAAGAAATAAACCTATCTTATATTGTTAACAAATTTCGAGACAAGTGGATTTTAAATTTTAAGGTGAAAATTGAAAACAATATTTCTAGTAGATAACATAGATAAGTATGTCCATGACTTTGGCACAGGCCAAGATTTCTTGGGACACAAAATGCATAAATTATCAAGACAAAAATATGACAAATTGGACTTTATTAGAATTAAAACCTTCTCTTCAAAAAAAAAAAAAGCTTCAGGAGAGCTGAAAGGCAAGAACAAAGTGGAAATCAACATTTGTCATATATTGATCTGGCAAAAGCTTTTTATCTAGATTATTAAGCTAAATCCCATCACTTAATAAACAAAGATGCATACATTGAACAAAATTGGCAAAGATATGACTAGGAGTTCCACATACAGAACCGAAGGGCCAACAAGTAGATGAACATATCCACATTCTTATGCATCAGAACAATGCATATGAAAACTACAATTGAATACCACTATGCAATCATTAACATTTTTGAAAACTGACAAAATTAAGTACTAGTGATGATGTCAAGCAACTGGAACTTTCTTATACCATTCTGTGTGCAAACTGTTATAACCACATTCAAAACCACTTGAGTAGTAACTCCTTACATACACGATGTACATAAGCACACTCTAGAACCCAGCAACTCTGCTACTAGGTATATACACCCAATAGAATTGCCAGCATATTTTCCAATGTAGTAAAGTGCTCGAAGTAGCATTATTTGGTACTTTTCCAAACTGAAAAATACTCAAATGTGCATCAATAATAAAATAACTAAATAAAACAGCTACATATTCCTTTATAAGGGGACATTATACAGATATAAAATTAATTGGAGACATATTAAAATATACAAAAATCTAACAAATACAATTTAATTAGATTTAAAAGTCCTATCCACAGCAATCGGCCAATAGAAAAGAAAAAGGCATACAAATAGAAAAAGAAATTGAATTCTCTTTCTCCATTTGCAATATGAGTCACTACGTAGAGAATGCTAAAGCCTCTCCAAAACTACTTTTGGGGAAAACTTGAAAAGCCTCCTGAAACGGATAAGCAAGTAAAGTTTTAGGACACAAAACCAATGTACAAAAATCAGTAGCATTTCTATGCATCAACTACTTTGAATTCCTGAACATCTTCTGGTTTTATTGCATTTTCAATTTTTTCCCTCCATTAACTATACATTTTTTCTTTTCTCAGCTAAACTAATTTATTCTTCTGTATAATTTCACCTTGTTAATAAACCCCAGGCCAAAAAGTGGGAATAAAGTATTTGTCTGCATCCTGTTTCCTCATTTTGAAAACTAGTCTAGATGAAACCTATACTTGTTCTAGGGAGTTGGCATAGACAGCATTTATTTCCATTCTCAGCAGTGATGCCAGCCAGAAAGAGGGAGTTCCCCATTTTCACTTTGGTTAGACAGGACTCTGGATGGTTGAAGGGGAAAAGTTTCAGACTCTAAGGGAGCCAAATAGGATATTACAAAGATTTATGCATTTACTCCGGGAGCAATTATTGTGTTAAATTTTGTGCAAAACACTGCGCAAACAGCAATTAAAGTGAAAATTATTAAGGCATTACCTTTACCTTGGGAAACTCACACTAGTCAGATTCTCCGAACCCCAGAACATAACAACAACCTAGTAAAATCTTGTTCAGAGTGAAGAGAGGGTGGGATCAGGAAGGTAAGTTTAAAAATTAGGCTGGGTGAATGAGATAATTACCCCTAGTCAAGCAGTGGAAGTATGGATGGCTTTGGGATGGGTGAAGACAAAAGAATCTCAGCAGAGGGTGCAGATAAAAAAGGGCAGAAACACAGGAGGCTTATGCAGGAAGAGGAATGAGTTTGCTGGACTGGGGAGAGTGACAGTAAAAAGCAGAGGATAATAGGCCTCTGTGGTCATCTAGGGACTATAGGGTGGATTAGTTGGGGGTTACAGAATCAGTGAGGTACTTTTGAACAGCAGGATGGATAAATAAGAGCTATATTTTGGAATAATTATGTAGCAATGGTGGTTAGGAGCAATAGAAACTCAAAGTATTACATAAATATGTTTTTTCTTATTCTCCCACACAAGCCTTTCGCCTTCCCTCTTAAACTGAGAACGGAGTGGTTTGCTATGATGTTTGTAAATTCTCACAGGCAAGCATTATTCTTTGCTGCCTTTTAGTAAAGGTTAGTTTTAACCAAATTAAAGAAGATTGAATGGATTTTCTTGCTCATAATGGTTGAGTGCAACATCTCATACCTTCTACTAGTTTTCAGTATAACTGAAGTAACAGAGTGTCAATACTCCATGGAGGGGTGCTCCGCTTGCTAAGTCTCCCTCCTCTGGGCTTGGCCTTCTACACCATGGCTGTCCTGCTCTGGCTGGAGCTGGAATTTGGATTGACCTCTGTGTGTCTTCCTAGCACACAATAGGTGTCCAATTAGCATGGGCAGAATCAAGCTCCTCCCTCTCACCATTTATTTCTCCATTTGTCCCTTGTTGGGAATGGACGGACAGTCCTGCCACTGAGTTCAGCCCAGGGTTGAAGTTCAAATCTCAGCTGATACTTGGTGGATGTTGACTTTTTTGAGAAGAACTTGGGAGAATAAAACATTATAAAGGCGCTGGCCAGGCACGGTGTCTCATGCCTGTATTCCTGGCATATTGATTGGCTGAGGAGATAGAATTGCTTGAGGCCAGGAATTTGATACCAGCCTTGTCAACATAGTGAGACCCCATTTATACAAAAAACTTGAAGCATTAAAAAAATTTAGCCAGGTGTGATAGTTCCAAACTTGTCTCAGCTATGCTGGACATTGAGGCAGAGGATCACTTGAGCCAGGAGTTCTAGGCTACAGGGAGCTATGATCGTGCTGCTGCACTCCAACCAGGGCAACCACGCAAGATGTTTCAAAAATAAAATCTTTTATTATTCTTCACCCCTATAGTCTCTCCAGAACTTGTGCACTATGTAGCAGAAAGAATCAAACTCCCCAAGAGTTTGGTTCTTGCTTATGATTCGGTTTTCTGCTGCTTGGCTGCCCCGTCATGTCCCCATTTTGTATAAATAAGAACCCCCAGGTGAAGTGGAGTTTCTCCCCAGCAGAGGGTCTCACCAAGGCCCCAGGACTGGCACTTTAGGTGGAGGCTTGCCTTTCAACCTCTGAATAATAATTGATACTAAAATTGAGAAGTTTTCCAGACACCAGCTTCCTGAAAGGAGCACTCAGTCGAGACAAGATGAGGTCAGTAGCGAAGGTGACTCAGGCTGAGTGGGCCGTACATTCCTCTACTTTTCCCAAACTTCCCTCTGACATCCTCCAAACTTTCTGTCTTCCCAGGACTTTCTTGCCAGGGAGTCTAGTGAAGTAAAAGCTTTAAAATTGCTTTGATTTTAAAAATAATTTTATTGGTTCTTAAAATGTACTGTTAAATATTACTGTTTTTCTTCCCCCAGGGGCTACGTGAACATAAGCTCATTTTTCACACTAGCAGCATTTAGAAATGTCTCTTCTGGAGGAACACTGATGCTCTCAAATCACACGTGGTAATTCTCTCCTCCAGGCACAAAATGCAGTCTCAGCATCTCTGTATCAGGAGTCACTGTCTAAGAGTCTCTCCAGAGAAATAAGCTACCCAGGCCATCCAGCTGCTGGTGAGTTGCTTTGTGGTCATGAACTGGGTAGATTTCCTCATCTCTTGCTCATTGGCCACATTCAGGATTAATGATTCAATGCTTTTGTTGTTCCAGAAGCTGTGGTCAGTGGCTATGCAGGAATCAGTCTTTCAGTGCTGATCTTTGCTGAGAAAATAATAGTATTGTTCAAACAGTATATAGGATTTGCACTCAATATTTAATAATTTAGTGACAAAAACCTCTTAAATACACATTATACTGATATAAAATAAGTTATTCATCTATTACCAAATTTACTCTTTTATTTAATATAACCCTTGGGATAACATTTTCTTTTATGCTTCCATAAATATGCTTCACATGGATATATCACATATTGTGTATAATTTCACACAGTGTTAACATAGTTTCCATCTATTTAGATGTTTGCACATTTATTTTATCTCAATGTTTGTTCTCAGGAAGAGTATTTTTCTTCATAAACTAAATTTTCAGCAAATTTTAAATGCATTTCACTGACATAATTATACTGTTTACATTGTATTTGTGTATTAAGTTACATTTTGTCCTTAAACCTGAAAATAACTTTTCAAATATATGTAATTTTAAATTTACATGTTTTTCCCTCAGAACTTTTAAAACCGTAACCTATTGGATTCTTGATCTTATTCACATATTGAGAAATGTGTTTCTTTTCATTGCTTTATAATTAATTTGAATTTTATCTTAGATAGCTTTACGTGATTTTCTCTATTATGGTATTATGCTTTTAACTATTGTTTTTCTTTTGATCAGAATGCCTTTAAGCTATTATAATTAATTATTTTAATAATTATATATTTTTATTCCCTATTTGACATTCACTCCATTTTATTTATTCAAACTTGCACTTAAACAACATGACTTATTCTAGATTTTTATGTATTTTAATTTTTCATATTGTTTATTTGTTTTATCCCTATTGGGACTTCTAAATATTCACTTCATCATATCTTCTAATTCATAATTTCTTTTTCAATTATGTAATTTTTCTATGTATTCTATCCTTTAAATTTAAAATTTTTACCTAATTATTTTGATAATATACCTTATTTTGATCTTACTTTTAAAATTTCCTCTAATATATTTAAACATTATAACTACTTATATTATTTCTACAGTATATATACAATTTTGGGATTTATTAAGATGTAATGGTACAGCTGTGTTTTTCTTATAATTTTATTTCTTAATAACTTTGATCTTGATGACTTTTACTTTGTATATTTTAAAAAGAATAGTAGACTTCATTTTATTATAAATGACTGACCTCAATTGATGGGGCCATAGAAGATTCTGGGTCGAGGTATTTTATTCCAATGAAAAGTTATCTGTAATGTTAATAATGCACCCTTTACAGACACCTGAAAATGATTAAGTCTATATATTTACCTAAATTGTCCTGAGTAAAACACATAGTGTACATATGAACCAGAAACTCATATGATGATTGGTGTTAATTCCCAAATCAACCAAAGAGGAGAAATACCACCTCCACTAACTAACCTATTTTTCTAAACTTTTGAAAATGTAAGGATTCTAGCTTTAGATAGCATAGTCAGATCCAAGTACTCCTGCATCTATGCTGCTGTGACATTATATTCACCAATCAGACATGTTAAATTCTAACAAACTGTGCTTCCATTATTAGCAATTCCCACAGATAACATCAACTTCCAGCCTAATTTTTCTCCTACAGCTGTGCTTCTTTATCCTTTCCTGAAAAATTATTTGTGGAGGTGCATGCCTTTGAAGTTTCTCAGCATATATTGTTATTTGAGGTTGAAAAGATAAGATTATCTAAATTTTTGCCAGAAACTCTGATACCCACATTATATCTTTGAAAGCATTGGTTGTCACACTGCTGCTGACATGTGCATTTAGGAGAAGCATGTAAATGTCAGTGTATTGCAGTCTCTGAGGGGTTGAAATAAACAATACCGGAAATCTTGGCCACTGAGGCTCACATGTAGATTTTCATTCCCAGTCCAGGCATCTAGATTCAGGGGCACCTAACTGAGGGGCTTTTGGTTGAGGCCTTCTTCAGAAACTTTTGTTCAGATCCCTGTTTCTGGAGAAGAAATGGAACTTTGATAATAATTTTCATACATTCCTATTAATATTCAATTCTCTTTAATCTTGCTCATACATTCTCCTCTACGCTCTCCTGCCCCCTTTTCCACAAAATTGCGGGCCTGTTTTTTATGAGGGTGCCACCTCGGCAGTGAGACAGTGCCCCATGTTTGTGCTGATCCATCTGACCCTTTCCTGGTGCTTTTCCATGAGGAAAAAATGGAACAATTAGGAGTCGGTGCTTGATCTAATGTTGCCTGTTGTTTAACACAATCACAGAAAGGAAGACAAAAAGGCGTAACTATTTCTTTGATGTGGGCCTCTTGCTTTAATTTAAAACTCTGATATTAAGCAGGTTAGCTCTTCCCAGCTCAGCTCAGCTCTTGAAATTTCATGGAAGAAATTCTGTTTTTATTGGTCTAAATTTTGTGTCTTTTATATAGAAAAACGGTAATAAAATTGCATCGTATATTTAAAAATTGAATGCCTTCTGTTTTGCCATTTTACTGAAGAGAAAATTTGTGTAGCCTATTGGCATTATTAACAGTGAAGCTCCAAGTACTAATATTCAGAAAAAATAATGAATCAAAATCCAACTATTTCTCAGTAGCATTTTCTTTTTTATAAACTTTCTATTTTATTGTCTGTAATTAAAAAACTTCTGTAGAAAAGAGTTTAAAATTTTCAAAGTTAATACAAAATTATTTTTAGAATTTCTTTTTGCATAATGTTTGTCGTAAGTAGCTAATATTAATAAATTGTAATCATCAATTCTTATCTAAGCTGCACGTTAAAAAATATGTTAATATTTGCTGCTGCCTAAAATATAATACATATTTACATAATCTAAGCTACTAAAAATAGTAATAAACACACATATAAATAATCAACATACACAGGTCATTTTTTCTATTTCTTACTTATATTTTATGTTTCATATTTGTATCAGCACACTTTATGTCCTACTATCATATATGGAAACTTGCCTATTTTGCATCTTGTTATATTAAATAAGAAGACATATGCTTAGCTTCCCCTAGGTTAAATTTTTTACATAATTGTTATTAATGTAAATAATCCAGAAATGAAAGTTTTTTAAAAAATTTCCAGTGCCCTCACTGTGCATGATATAATTCTATTTTTTAAAGTGTTAGTGCTGTTTGCATTATATAAAAGAATATTTTAGTGTATCAACTAACTACATACCTGAAAGCATGGCTTACTTTTTCATTAGTATATACTTTTGGTTGTACTCGGCTATTTTTCTAAAAGTGCTTGCAAATCAGTTCCAGGCCACAGGGCTTTGTCTTCAACAAAATAAGAATGTCTCAGAGACCCACAGAAATATCTGTGCCAAGTACTCCTATAAACAGGCTTCTGATAGAATGACTTATATAACTTTGAAACACTATCAGTGGACTAATTTATTTCTCTAATTCTAGCAGAGAAGCATATGTGCTTACAAGATAGAGTAAAACAAGTATGAGTAAAACAGGACTAAATGAACTGACGATGAATGATAATAGGTTTTGTTTGGAATGTGAACATAAAACATTCCTGCTATTATTTCCTTGGTATCTAAACATGAGCTAATGGGAGCCGTTGTTACATGTTGTACACCCTTAAGAAGGTTTACAGTTTTTTGTCTCACCTATATTCGTAGTTGTCTGTATTTGTGGTTTAGAATCTCAGCTATTTTCATAGTTGTAGCTATATTTATAGTTGCATGCAATGAGTTGCATGGTTGCACTCAGTAGCCAGGGGATGGGCAGGGAGATGCAAACAATTCTTCAGAGTAAGTTATTATCTTCTGTTGCAGTGGAAGTTCTTGAGGCTTCATAGCTACCTGGCACTCATCTCGTATGAGCTCCTTTGTGTTTCTGAAGCCTCTGGCATACACCGAGGGTGTGGGTTTGCCTGGAATGTAGCATCAACCTGTAGAGAACAGGATTTTCCATGACCCAGTCATTGAATAAACTTGATATCTGCTTCTGCTGTTGAGAAAACATTATTTCTCCTTCAGGAATATCCACCCTCTTCATCAAGAACATCGTGTCATTCTTCAGGGTCACAGAATGCTCTACAGCCTACTTCCTGGTGTCCACCAAGGAGGAGATTAGTTGCATCTGAATTGAAGGAAGATTCGAGAGGGGTCACAGCTGCAGAATTCCAATCACGCTCAGTCTGACTGTGCTGATTTTAGAAAGACACATGGGGATCTGCCACAAGGAAGGCACTTTGCAGGGAGGCCTCAACCCCATGGCACACCCCTTCAGGAGGGCTCTTCTCCTTGTAACAGTCACTTAGCCACTTATAGAAAGGCAACTCTTAGAAAATTTAAATGGGGACCAAAATACTAACCCTAACCAGTTTATTATCTCAAAGAATTGGAAAAACAAAGTTTTCAAATACTACAGGATTAGAAGAGTAAACAAGATATGCTTTTTCTTTGGAGCTACATATATGTATTAAAAATGGGATGTACAAAGAATTTTTTATCACATGGAGAAGTGCTTATGAGATGATATACCATTAAACATATTAATGAAAGGCATACATTAAAAAGTATAACCAAACTTATACATTAGAACCCAAAATTTAAAATGTGTAGAAAAATGATTGAGAGGAAATATGCCGAATTATAGGAATTGATGTGTTTCTTATAGGAAACAGGATCCTGTGAGAAATTAAATTGCTTTATTGATTCTCTTGTACTTTTATAGTTTCCAAAAGTTCTACAGAGAGTGTAATGTAGGACCTTAGTCAGGAATAAACATCTCTTTAAATAAGCAGCAGAGAATTTCAAAGGAAGTGTGTGGTATGGGTTTATGTGTTTCTTTCAAGATCTAATATTTTCCACGTAGTGCTTCAGAAAAGACAAGGTAATTTCAACAACTTAACCCCATCATCAAGAGGGTGTTACTTAAGTACATTATGGGAGGTCATAGATAAACAACCAGTCAGCCTCTAAGCATCAGAAAATCCGTGATGTCCATTGGCCTGAGAGATGGTCTGCATTTCTTTGAAGGAAAAAAGCAGGTTTTAAAACACTAGAGCCGAATCAAATCCTAAATTTGAATAGAAAGATTAGAAAGGCTTATGCATGGGAAAAAGATTCAGGGTATCCAATGGTTAATTCTGACTATTTCTGAGTAATTTAAATTTACCTATAATTTAAAAAAAAAAATTAAGGTCAGGTGTGTTGACTCAAACCTGTAATCCCAGCATTTTGGGAGGCCGAGGTGGGTGAATCACTTGAGACGAGGAGTTTGCGACCACTATGGGCACCATGGCAAAACCTCATATCTACTAAAAACACAAAAATTAGCCAATTGGTGGTGTGTGCTTGTAGTCCCAGCTACTTGGGAGGCTGACGCATGAGAATCGCTTGAACCTAGAGGGTGGAGGTTGCAATAACCCAAGATCTCACCACTGCACTCCAGTCTGGGTGACAGAGCAAGACCTTGTTTCAAAAAAAATTTTTTTGTATTTTAGTTAGGAATCAAATAAGATAATTAAATGTAAACTTACACTTAATTTACTTTTTAAGCATTTTAAGAATTGGTATTCTAATTTTGTGTCGGTACATTTTAAGAATCAATAAAATTATTTTTAAAATCAAAGCAATTTTAAAGCTTTTACTTCTTTAGACTCCCTGGCAAGAAAGCCCTGGGAAGATAGAAAGTTTGGAGGATGTCAGAGGGAAGTTTGGGAAAAGTAGAGGAATATATGGAGGGCAGAAGGAGTGAACATTAGGGAAACCCTCCCCTAGCTCAGTCTTCAGATACGCTGGTGGACTTCCCCATTCAGCCTGAGTCACCTTCGCTACTGACCTCATCTTGTCTTCTGACTGGATGCTCCTTTCAGGAAGCTGGTGTCTGGAAAACTTCTCAATTTTAGTATCAATTATTATTCAGAGGCTGAAAGGCAAGCCTCCACCTAAAGTGCCAGTCTTGGGGCCTTGGTGAGACCCTCTGCTGGGGAGAAACTCCACTTCACTGGGGGGTTCTTATTTTATACAAAATGGGGACATGACGGGGCAGCCAAGCAGCAGAAAACCAAATCATGAGCAAGAACCAAACTCTTGGGGAGTTTGATTCTTTCTGCTACATAGTGCACAAGTTCTGGAGAGACTATAGGGGTGAAGAATAATAAAAGATTTTATTTTTGAATCATCTTGCGTGGTTGCCTGTTTGGAGTGCAGTAGCGTGATCATAGTTCACCGCAGCCTAGAACTCCTGGCTCAAGTGATCCTCTGCCTCAATATCCAGCATAGCTGAGACAACAGTTTGGAACTATCACACCTGGCTAAATGTTTTTAATGCTTCAAGTTTTTTGTATAAATGGGGTCTCACTATGTTGACAAGGCTGGTATCAAATTCCTGCCCTCAAGCAATTCTGTCTCCTCAGCCAATCAATATGCCAGGAATACAGGCATGAGACACCGTGCCTGGCCAGCGCCTTTATAATGTTTTATTCTCCCAAGTTCTTCTCAAAAAAGTCAACATCCACCAAGTATCAGCTGAGATTTGAACTTCAACCCTGGGCTGAACTCAGTGGCAGGACTCTCCATTCCCAACAAGGGACAAATGGAGAAATAAATGGTGAGAGGGAGGAGCTTGATTCTGCCCATGCTAATTGGACACCTATTGTGTGCTAGGAAGACACACAGAGGTCAATCCAAATTCCAGCTCCAGCCAGAGCAGGACAGCCATGGTGTAGAAGGCCAAGCCCAGAGGAGGGAGCCTTAGCAAGCGGAGCACCCCTCCATGGAGTATTGACACTCTGTTATTTCAGTTATACTGAAAACTAATAGAAGGTATGAGATATTGCACTCAACCATTATGAGCAAGAAAATCCATTCAATCTTCTTTAATTTGGTTAAAACTAACCTTTACTAAAAGGCAGCAAAGAATAATGCTTGTCTATGAGAATTTAAAAACATCATAGCAAACCACTCCGTTCTCAGTTTAAGAGGAAAGGCAAAACGCTTGTGTGGGAGAATAAGAAAAAAAATATTTATGTAATACTTTGAGTTTCTATTGCTTCTAACCACCATTGCTACATAATTATTCCAAATTATAGCTCTTATTTACCCATCCTACTGTTAAAAAGTACCTCACTGATTCTGTAACCCCCAACTAATCCACCCTATAGTCCCTAGATGACCAGAGATGCCTATTATCCTCTGCTTTTTACTGTCACTCTCCCCAGTCCAGCAAACTCATTCCTCTTCCTGCATAAGCCTCCTGTGTTTCTGCCTTTTTTTATCTGCACCCTCTGCTGAGATTCTTTTGTCTTCACCCATCCCAAAGCCATCCATACTTCCACTGCTTGACTAGGGGTAATTATCTCATTCACCCAGCCTAATTTTTAACCTTACCTTCCTGCTCCCACCCTCTCTTCACTCTGAACAAGATTTTACTAGGTTGTTGTTATGTTCTGGGGTTCGGAGAATCTGACTAGTGTGAGTTTCCCAAGGTAAAGGTAATGCCTTAATAATTTTCACTTTAATTGCTGTTTGCGCAGTGTTTTGCACAAAATTTAACACAATAATTGCTCCCAGAGTAAATGTATAAATCTTTGCAATGTCTGATTTGACTCCCTTAGAGTTTGGATCTTTTCCCCTACAACCATCCAGAGTCCTGTCTAACCAAAGTGAAAATGCGGAACTCCCTCTTTCTGGCTGGCATCACTGCTGAGAACGGAAATAAATGCTGTCTATGCCAACTCCCTAGAACAAGTATAGGTTTCATCTAGACTAGTTTTCAAAATGAGGAAACAGGATGCAGACAAATACTTTATTCCCACTTTTTGGCCTGGGGTTTATTAACAAGGTGAAATTATACAGAAGAATAAATTAGTTTAGCTGAAAAAAGAAAAAATGTATAGTTAATGGAGGGAAAAAATTGAAAATGCAATAAAACCAGAAGATGTTCAGGAATTCAAAGTTGTTGATGCATAGAAATACTACTGGTTTTTGTACATTGGTTTTGTGTCCTAAAACTTTACTTGCTTATCCATTTCAGGAGGCTTTTCAAGTTTTCTCCAAAAGGAGTTTTGGAAAGACTTTAGCATTGTCTACGTAGTGACTCATAATGCAAATGGAGAAAGAGAATTCAATTTTTTTTTCTATTTGTATGCCTTTTTCTTTTCTATTGGCTGATTGCTGTGGATAGGACTTTTAAATCTAATTAAATTGTATTTGTTAGATTTTTGTATATTTTAATATGTCTCCAATTAATTTTATATCTGTATAATGTCCCCTTATAAAGGAATATGTAGCTGTTTTATTTAGTTATTTTATTACTGATGCACATTTGAGTTTTTTTCAGTTTGGAAAAGTACCAAATAATGCTGCTTAGAGCATTTGTCTGCATTGGAAAATATGCTGGCAATTCTATTGGGTGTATATACCTAGTAGCAGAGTTGCTTGGTCCTAGAGTGTGCTTATGTACATCGTGTATGTAAGGAGTTACTACTCAAGAGGTTTTGAATGCCGTTATAACAGTTTGCACACAGAATGGTATAAGAAAGTTCCAGTTGCTTGACATCATCACTAGTACTTAATTTTGTCAGTTTTCAAAAATGTGAATGATTGCATAGTGGTATTCAATTGTAGTTTTCATATGCATTGTTCTGATGCATAAGGATGTGGATATGTTCATCTACTTGTTGGCCCTTCAGTTCTGTATGTGGAAATCCTAGTCACATGTTTGCCATTTTTGTTCAATGTATTGCATCTTTGTTTATTAATTGATGGGATTTAGTTAAATAAACTAGATAAAAGGCTTTTGCCACATCAATATATGACAAATGTTGATTTCCACTTTGTTCTTGCCTTTCATCTCTCCTGAAGCTTTTTTTTTATGAAGAGAAGGTTTTAATTCTAATAAAGTCCAATTTGTCATATTTTTGTCTTGAGAATTAATGCATTTTGTGTCCCAAGAAATCTGGGCCTGTGCCAGTCATGGACATATTTATCTATGTTATCTACTAGAAATATTGTTTTCAGCTTTGACCTTAAAATTTAAAATCCACTTTTCATTGGAATTTGTTAATAATATAAGATAGGAGTGTTTTTTCTCACATAAATAACTGGTTGACTCAAGGCTATTTACCGAGAAGACTGTCTTCACTCCTCTTCTGTGCCTGTTTTGTAATATACAAAATGTCCAAATGTGTGAGTCTGAGTTGGACTCTCGAGTTTTTCTAGTTTTCTTTGTGCCTATTTTTGCATTACTACCATAGATAGCTTTTATTACTATAGCTTTAATCTAAGTCTGAATATATGTCATTTTAAGCTCACAAACTTTGTTATTCTTCAGGACAGTTTTTACATTTCTTCGATTTTTTATATGTATTTAAATTTTTTAAACTGATTAGACAGTTTCCACAAGATTTCTGCCAAAATATTGTATTGTGAAAATGGAAATCTATGAATCAATTTAGGGAGAAGTTACATAGAAACAAAGCAAAACAAAACACTAATAACATCCAAAACAAACTTAAAGAGAACACCACAATAAGAAAAGAAATTCCCAAATTGGAATAAATATTTACAACTCATGAAATTACAAATGGGCTCGCATTTCCATAAAGGGCACTCTCTCTCTCCCTCTCTCTCTCTTTTTTTTTTTTTCCACAGAGACTCACTCTGTCACCCTGTCTTGAGTGCAGACGTGCAATCTCGGCTCACTGCAACCTCTGCCTCCCAAGTTTCAGCAATTCTTCTGTCTCAGCCTCCTGAGTAGCTGGGGCTACAGGCTTGTGCCACCATTCCCGGCTAATTTTTTGTAATTTTAGTAGAGACGGGGTTTCACCAGGTTGGCCAGGCTGGTTTTTAACTCCTGACCTCAAAAGATCCGCCCGCCTCAGCCTCTCAAGTGTTGAAATTACAGATGTGAGGCACCACAGCTGACCTGTAAAGACCTCTTAAAAATTAGTTAAAAAACAAACAAAACAGAAAAAGAGAAAGAAGAAACAGCCACTCAGTTAAAAGAAAAAGATAAAGAAAAAGAAAAAGAAAAGAAAAGAAAAAAAGGCAAAAGACATTATTTTACAGGTCTAGTGCCCTGTGCCCCTCACTGTAATGGGGGTGGATATGGGCTTCACAGGACATGAAATTCATCAAACAGTTGCTGGTTGAAGGAGGGAAAATCTTGCGGGACCAGCCTCCAGAACAGAGCCTGTGGTGCACTGTTTCATCCCGTAGCCCTGGTAAGAAAACCTGGCTGTGCCGTGCTTTATGTTCACCTGCATTTGCCCTGTTCAGAGGCCTGAGCTACCGTGGACACATAAGTCTGCTCAAACTCTCCCCATCCCAATATTCTATCTGGTATTGAGCATGACACCCTGTCTTCACTGAGCATGTGTTTATGCAGTTTTGTGACCACCTATCCATTTTACAACAGGAAGACTGAGGCCCCCAAAAAAGGCAAAGACTGGTCCATATCCCAGAAATTGGGAAGAGCACAGAGTATTAGGGAGGGATCCAGCTTCCAAGGCCTTGCATGCACCCCACCCATCAGGTTTGCTTTGGAAATGAGTGCTCCTAAGTCCTGGAAAACCCTGTGGTCTACTTTCTACCTGGGCTTTCTACCCTTTCTTATTCTCACATAGGTGTGCAGCCATGAACACACAAACACACCACACACACACACACACACAGGCTTCTAAGGTGGAGATCATGGAGGTGAGGTTAGAGAAGAGGAAACCAGAGAAGTGACAAAACGGGAAGAAATAGAAGAGGCAGCTTTGCCATGAGGTAGAGGCATCCACTCCCCCAGCTACATGACCAGGAGCTGACAGCATGCGATGAAGGATCCTCCAGGTTCCCTGGGTTCTTCCAGGCCTGGGGATCTTCCCAGCTGTTTCAAGAGGACAGGACAGGGGTTGTGACTCCCACCTCTATGGGCACCTGGAACTAAAATGAGCTATGCCCTCCCCCAACCACCCCATGTGATATAAAGTGGGGCTACGGGAAAGAAAACCTTCGTTTTCTCTCTCATAAATAGGGGTACTCAAAAGGAATAATACCAAGAATTCTAGATACTCATAAGTGTCTGCTCCCCTTGGCTCTTCATTGGTAACTCACTGTGCTTTGAGACTCTGGGAAGAGGCTTTTCAGGTTCTAGAGGTCCTTCAGAGAAGAGAGAGGCCTAGAGATGTGGGCAGATGAGGACTTGGAATAAAGCAGAATGTGACAATGCACTGGGCTCTGGAGTGTGGGGCCCAGAAAAAATACTAGTTTTTTGGGCTGTCCTTGAGTTCCTCATTCAGAAGTGGAAGAAAATAATGTCTCTGAATGCTGTTAAAATGTTTAATGAGTGCACAGCACACTCAAAGAGGCTGAGGAAAATAGGAATCAAGGGAGGTTTCCGAGGTTACTTTTATGGCCCTTGGAGTCTTCAGATACTGCTCCCTTTCCCAGGGGTCCCTGAATAGCCACTGCCTTGAGAATTCCCCAGTGCAGGTGCCTGTTTTGTGATGCTTCCACCTGGGACTTCAGGGCTAGTGGAGGCCTCTAGGTGGCGGCAGACCCCGTGTTTCTTATGCCCGCTGGGCTTTACTGGAGCAGCTGGAGCTAGGGGGAGAGTCAGCCTGAGGTCCTGCAGCTCCTGTTATCATTCATGATCTCCACATTATTGGGTGGCCAAAAGTGGGAAGAAGGGCTTTGTGATTTTCCATGTTATTTTACTCAGCGACTCTTCCCCTAGCACTCACCATGTGGCAGCTACCTTGGTAGGTTCACCATGTGGTACCAAAAATGATTATGTTATCCCTGCATCCCGGCGGGAGCCCACGGTCTGAGGACAGCAGGACAAAAACACTAAAGCAAGTACATGTGAAAGAAAAGAGCATTTTATAATGGAAATAAAGTAGAATGTTGGGAGGGAGGGCTGGGGAGAGGTTGCCTGGAGGGGACATGAATGCCTCCCTGAGGTGACATTATGTTGTCACCAGAATGACAACAGAGAGCCACTCCTGCGCAGGTGTGGAAAGTGTGTCAGGGAAAAGCCACTCTTTGTGAAAAGACTCACAGGCACAGGTGTGTTCAGCAGAGGAGGTTATAACGGGACAATTGTGGCGGCAGGCAGCCTGAGAAAGAAAGGAAAAGAGGGGAGGGAGGATCCTGGGGACTGAAAGAAGAGATTAGTCATTTGCCCCTCTCTGACAAAATTTCCCTGAATTTTAGCACATGTTGACAACAAATACTATCTCACAACTTTTGTGAACCAGAATCTCGATATAGCTTAGTTGGGTGCCTCTGCCTCAAGGTCTCTTACGAGGCTGGGGCTGTGATTTCAACTGAAGCTGGATTTGAGGAGAGATCAGCCTTCTATCTGCCTCATGGAAACTGGCACGATTCAGTGTGAACTGAGAGCCCGAGTTCCTTCCTCTCGATTGGCCTGGGCATCTCCTCAGTTCTCTATCATGTGGGTCTGTGCCTAGAGCATCTTAGGACACTGCAGATCACTTCCTCATCTTGAGGATTACAATACAGAGATGAAAAATGAAAGAGATAGACAGACATATGCAGAGAAAAAGAGAGAAAGGGAGACAGAGAGATTGAGAGAGGACACACAGGACAGAGCAAGTAAGAGGAAAATAATAGCTGTTTTAGAAATATAACTTTGGAAGTTGCAGAAGACTATGTGATTCCCCACCATGTTCACATACCAGAACCTTAATCCCCAGTGTAATGGCCTTAGCAGGTCAGAGGTAATTAAGTCCGAAGCATGAGGACCTCATGATAGCGATTACGGGCTTTGTAAAAGAAACCGCAGAAGGCTGTCTCTCCCTCTCTCTGCTAAATGAGAAAACAACCTGAAGTCTGGAGTTTGAAACTCAGAAGAGAGTCCTTACCAGACCCCAACCATGCTGGAAGCCCAATCTCAAATTTCTGGCCTCTAGAACTAATGTTTTTTATTTATAAGTTGCCTAGTCTATGTTTTTTGGTATAGAAGTCTGAACTAAGTCAGAAGTGATAACCTATCACATTTGTTGTTTTCCCTTTGACAGAAACTAGAACCAGGTCCCCAAAGAGTTCATCCAATGACTAACAGAAATTCTTCAGTTTGCAGAATGACAGATAAGAAAAGATACAACTTGTTGAAAGAATGAAATTTATTCCACTTATGAGACTTCTAAAAAGTGGCTAAAATTGGTCGGAACCAATATGGTCAACTGGAGTCTGTGTGAAATAAGCTCACTGATGTCAGAGCCCAAATTTCCATCACATGTTTTGTACTAACTGTCCCCAAATTTGCACATGTGATCTGTGTGTAGCAAGAAAAAATAGTTGTTCATGCCCAGTGATTTTCCATACATTTTTCCTTTAAGCAATTCCGTACTAATCCAGAACCTACCTCCTAAACCTTTCTGAGAATATTACTACCTTTAAGTAAGCACAGGGAAACAGACTTGAGCTGGAATCCCATCTCTCTGTTAGAAACCCGGTGTTATAGTACCTGCTTCTGAGGCACTGAGAGGTGAGCTGCGTTTTAAAATAACAGAGTCACTCACAACTTAGTGTTGTTGTGAGACTTTGTTGGGGGTGCCCACCACATAGGCTGAGATGAGGCATATACATATGATTCTAAATATAATGCACAGCACTGGAATATTTAATGCCAGAAGACAGTATCTGATTTTCTTTTAATTTCAACCTCTTCTGCTGTGGAATGGAAAATTAAGGCCATATATATAAAATATATATCTTTTATGTATAAAGATACATAAACTATGTATCTTTTATATATAAAGATATATATGTATAAGTTTATATATTATATATAGTTATATATAATTGATATATATATAGTTATATATAATATATAAATAAAAATATTTATATACATTATATATATATATATTTTTTGAGACACAGTCTCGCTCTGTCACCCAGGCTGGAGTGCAGTGGCAGGATCATGGCTCAATGTAATCTCTGCTTCCTGGGCTCAAGTGATTCTTACACCTCAGCCTCCTGAGTGGCTGGGATTACAGGCATGCATCAACACATCTGGCTAATTTTTGGATTTTTCGTAGAGAAGGGTTTTTGCCATGCTGGCCATGGCTGGTTTCAAACCCCTGGCCTTAAGTGTTCCAGCTGCCTTGGTCTACCAATCTGCTAAGATTACAGCAAGAGCCACTGCATCCAACCGATTTTGATTCATTCTATCTCATATATCACCAAAGACTGTTTTTGGAAGTTGATGTTAGCATAATCCCATTATGCATACTTCAGGGCTGGGGAGACCTGAAGCACACAGTCATTTTCATATGGTCACAGAAATGAAAAGGAAAAGAAGATTTTAACCCAACTCTGTTCTCTCAAACCTGGGGCCCTGGCTGCATTTAGAACTTTTTGGGAATTAAGGGACATAATTGTGTTTGCATAACTGTTTACAGGTAAAGAGTTGACATGGGAGAGGAGGGTGAGCAATCAGCAGCCCAGCAGGGACTTTGCGTAGATTTATGGAGGAAAAGGGCTCAGGGGATAAAACCTTGAAGAAGTTAACAGACTTCCCTTGTGACAAAACCTAACAGAATTTAGAACTTTGGGAACCAGAAACCCACATTCTAGAGACAGCCCTGTATCTAGCTAACTTCTTGGGAGATGCTTGAGAGGGCACTGTGTTCTCATTGTGTTATATTCCCAAGCTGTTGCCTGAGAAAGGCTCAAAGTGAGAGCCTTTTCTGACAGTATACATACTGGCTCAGCCTACATCCTTGATACCACTGGCCATTCGACAAGAGGCACCCACAGGTAACACAGTTTAGCCCAGGGCAGGTCCGTCCATGCCAGGCCACCTGTGTCATCTAATCTGGGCAACCCGACCCTGCCTACCATTACCCTGTGTTGCAAGGGGAGCAGGAAAGGAGGGGCTTTTCCTCACAGGGGCAGGTTTTAAGACACAGGAACCCTGGTGGGTCTGTCATGTTCATACCCAGGTCACGGTTGGTGGAATAAAAAGTTGTGAGTTGCGGACCAAGTACGTCTACTCAGATGTGAATCCCAAGGCCTTAAGCTGTCCTCGGGTTTCCTCATTGGCTGGGGGTCTATGCAGATACTCCTATGTTCCTGATCTAGGAAACAGAATTTCTAATGCAGATGTCACCTGGTGGTAAAAACAAAGAAGACAATTAACTTTTTTCGCTGCTGGGAACACTCTTTGTAGAGCTGCATTAAAATCAGTGAGCAGATATTTGATGGGTTCAAGTCCCCCATCTCCTTGGACAACTGGCAGGTTCACCACACCCCCCAAGCATGGCATACAATGAGTTATGTTGAGAGCAGGCACATGGGGTTCTCTACAGAGAGGGACCTGACAAAACCAGGATGGGTCCAGGATCCAGACCCAAATATGGAATTTCTCTGCGCTTTCTCCTAGGGGATTTCCATGAGTGACCCTCAGATCTACCCCCAAAAATCTAGCCTTAACTGGTCCCAGTGGCAACTTGGTTAAGTGTAAAGTCCCTTTTTACATTCTTGTAGAAATATCAGAGAAGGCCTTTGTGTTGTTTTTACTTTACACTAGGCTGCATTTATTCATGTTACTACAGTTTGTATAGTTTTAATTATTCCCCTCTGATATCATCTGTAGCAAGCAGGTTCATGGTACTGCCAGACTTTCTCCAAGACTTGAAAGCCACCACTATCACTAATACTCTACAAAAATAGGGAAGAGTTTACATGAAAAAGGGGTTATATTGTTTCCTACATTTGTCTGCAATGTGTCATCTAAGAGAACTCATCCCAGTAGCCCATCAGGGCAGAAGTGGTGCCCTCACATCTCTTTGTAATGTTCTATAATGGGGGTCACTTCCCAGAGTGGTTTAGCCTTTCAATGGCTATTATTTCTGATCAAAATGGAATAAAACTAGAAATGAATAACAGAAGAAAACAAAAATAGCAACATATATATGGAAATTAAACAACTCACTTTTGAGCATGCTCATGTTTAAGGGTTGTAAGACTTAATATTATGAATAATGCTTATGATGTCTAAAGCGAGTTACAGATTCAATGCAATCCCTTTTAAATTAAGAACTTTTTTTTTGAAATAGAAAAAGGAACCAACAAATTATATGGAATCTCAAGCGACCATAAAGAGCCCCAAAATGTTTAAAAAAAACAATGTTAGTGACCTCACCTTTTCTGATTTCAAAGCACATTACAAAGCAACAGCAATGAAAACAGTTTGTTTCTGGCATAAACACAGACAATTTTTCCAATAAAACAGAAGGTAGCACACATGTAAACCTCACACATATGAGCAAATAGCTATTTGCATACCAATATTCATTGCAGCATTATTCAGAAATGCCAATAGGTGAAAGCAACACAAATTTTCCTCATAGAATGAATAAATAAATAAAATTTGTAATATAAAACTAATGGAATATTACTTAGCTTTTAAAGGCAGAAAATCTTGTACCATCCACAATAAAGAGGAATCTTGAGAACATAATGCTAAGTAAAATTAGTCACAATAAAACAGATACTCTATGATTCTACTTATATGTAATATCTAAAGTATTGAAACTTAGAACCAGAAAATAGAATGATTTTTATCAGGAGCCAGGTGGTAAGGACAATGGGTAGTTGTCATTTCATGTGTACTGAGTTTTAGTTTTGCAAAAGAAAAAATTTTACAAATATGTTGCTTAACAATGTAAATACACTTAACATGACTGAACTGTATAAGAAAAAATATTAAAGATTCTAAATTTTATGTTATGTATTTTTACCACAATCGAAATTAAAAATGACACCCAAGGGCCAAGAGTGATCACTCATGCCTGTAATCGCAGCACTCTGGGAGGCTGAGGCATGCAGGTTACTTGAGGCCATAAGTTCAAGACCAGCCTGGCCAACATGGTGAAACCCCAGCTTCATGAAAAATACAAAAATTAGCCAGGCGCGGTGGTGCACAACTTTAATGCCAGCTACTCAAGAGGCAGCAGCTGGAGAATTGCTTTAACCTGGGAGGTGGAGGTTGCAGTGATCCAAGATTGTGCCACTGCACTTTGGCAACAGGGTGAGAGTCTGTCAAAAGAAAAAAAAAAAAAAAAAAAAGACACCCGAAGGGACAGAGTTACAAAGTTTCTGAAAAATTATCTTCAAATCACATAAATCTTTCCTTCACACTAAGATAATATAAACAATAGATGTTGAAATTAAGACAATTTCCATGATTACTCACTTAGACAGAATAAATTATTGGCCATCAAATAAGAAGAAAATATAAAAGTCATAAACAAAATAGGGGCAATATTTATACAGGCAAACAAACAGTTAAATCATTGTATTAACAAAAGACATAGGGATGGTTCATATTTGACTTCTGCCCCACACTGTCTTAATGCATACAGAGTTGAATATTGTTATACAATATTATATTATACAAATTAAAACTTAAAACAATAAACTAATATAAGGTGCCCTACCCTAAAACATGAAACACAGAAATGTAAAATTGCAAAACAAAGTTAAAATAAACATTAACCCCCAAATTCTTATTTGAATAATGAAATTCAAAATCATAATAAATAGGTAGAAAGTAAAAACACAATTAACTGATGTGAGACAGCCTACTCTAAAAAATACAGAAACATAAAATTATAAAACATAATTAAGAGAAACTTTAATCCATAAAATCCTGAATAAACATAGTGTCCAAATGAAAAAGAATCCCAGGTAACTACAATTTTTAACTCTTCCTGTGAATCTATGAAAAGTATGAATTTTGAATTATTTGGATACAGTTAGGGCAACAACATTTCAGAGAAAACACATTATAATTAATACAAAGAGCTGTGATGAGAAAGTTTTAAGGAATAAGCATTTAAGTAATACTAGAGAAAGTTTTAAATTATGCTACTGATGCATTGCTGCTTTTCTTACACAAAATGATAAGGCTGTAATCTAGCTTTTAATTGAAAAGTCTTACATTTCTAAATATGGTAACAATATAAATATTGTAAATACAGTATAAAACATTGACATATAAAATAAAAATTGGAAATAAATTGTACTATTAGTCAAATAAAAGTTGGGAAAACTGGAAGAAGATGCTAATAGTAACATTGTGCCTAGAGTCAATTAAACATACAAGCCAAATATTTTAATAAATTATAAATTATATAATTTATACATAATATATACATTTGAGCATGCTATTTTACAACTTCTGAAAGGAAATTACAGACAAATGTGACACATGATAATTCAGAAAGTGAAAACACAGTCATAGTAATCTTCATATTAAAGAAGACAGAATCATAAAATACTAAGTGAGAAATAAAGTAATAATTGTGAATTCAATATATGTTGAACAATATTCTAATTTCCCTTACGGAAAAAGTTTTTGTAAGAAATCAGTAAAATGAGTACATACAATAAACCATCCTACAGTAGAGGCTGTTGGCATATAGAGTTTACATTTCTATGATTAGGTCCTACTAAGAAAAAGGAAATTTTAAAATAAAATACTTAGATTTTCCTATTTAATAAGATAATTTTTGCCTATAAAGTTTTTCAGTCTAATTTTCTTGTAGAATTAGGTTTTAGCCATCGTAAAACTTGACATTATGAAGCAGAAAACAGGTGTCATCTGTCTCTGGTGTTCCTGGAATTTCTAACCCAAATGCCAATTCCTCCACAACTCCCTTCACACACTTCTGAATTGAAGCACAACAGATTTATTAAAATTGGCATAACAGCGGTCTCCAGAAATGTGCAGAGATTTTCCCAGATCCCCAAAATCAATGACAAACTATTCAGATCATTTAGGTTCTCACAAGATTCTGGGAGGACTTTGGCTTTCAGTGTGAACGCACTGGAAGATTCTAAGAGAGAGGGAGAGAGAGAGAATGTGTGTGTGTTGAAATCAGAACCCCACCTTATGTGTTTATTGTGGAAATTGAAAATGAAAGCCTAAAGTTGAAAATTAAAATCACACATGATAGCACGTTGCAAACTGTTTTCTGTGCTAGATGGGTCGTTCTAGGGTGTAGGACCCTGGAAACACCGTTTTCCCCTCCTTCCGGAAAGAGCTACTCACACTGCTCAAAGCCTGCATCCACATGTACCATGTCGAAGACCAGCTCAAGAGCCTGGACCCATATGCCACCTTCAGCAGGGTTGACTGCAGCTTCTTGTTCTTCCTGAGCATCTTCTCCAATGGTGACCTGAGAGTTGCGGGAGGCATTGGGGCCAGGATTGAACAGAGGAAAAAGGAGCACGGAGGCCAGGTGCTGAGGACCAGGCCATCTCACCTGGAGAGTTCTGGCCCTGAGACATCCAGACCAGCATGATGTTTAGGTGCAGACAGCTGGCCCTGGGTGGCCCTGTGCTGATCACCGGCCTCAGCCCCTCAAACAGTGGGAAATGGAAGAATGGCTTGGAAATGGGCCCTGTCGACAGTGTGTCACCTGAGCACATTCTCCCAGGGGCCCAAGAGGGGCCATCGTGTCTCTAGAACCAGAACTGGAAGGTGAAACTGCCAGGGGGAACAAGGAAGAGGGTCCTCAGTTGGGTGGAGGGTCTCACAGCAAGACGCCTGGCTTAATCAAGCTTGGCCATTCCTGAAGCACGTTCAGTGACTAAAAGTGCCTACCATGAGCAGCTGGAACACACTCTCTGAGAGCTGCAAGATGCATGGGGACCTCAAGTACCTGTTTGTAATTACAGCCAAGGACCAGCAGGCAGCATTGCTGCATCCACATGGGCTTTTGCTGGAACCAGTAAGTCTCTGCCAGCCCCTCCCAGGCTCCTGGGATGCCACTTGTTCTGGGTCTGTGGACAGATAACCAGGACACTTACTCAGTGAAGCCCATCGCTCAACCCCAGCCCCACCATACCCTGTCTCCTATGCCATTCCTCATCCCAGAAGGAAAGGCAATGCCTTTGTCCCACAGCCCCTGCCTTGTGTCATCTCATGTGGGGGTATGGAATGAACCCGTCAGCCTAAACTCCAGTCCTTCTGCCTGAGGAATCTGTCCCCGCTGTCTTAGTCGCCCTCTAGGGAGCTGTCAGTGGGATAAAGAGCAGCCCTGGAAGAGAGGCCCACCTTCTTCTGTTTGACTTCAGGACAGCCTTTCAGGGCAAGAACCCAGAGCAGATGGAGGCCTCACAGAAGGCTGTGGCAGGGCTCTCGGCTTGGTGGGCTAAGCATCTCCCTCTCTGATGACTGCCATGGGGCCCACAACCACTCATTCAAGAGGGTCACCACCACATTGCAGGTGTTCAGCTGGACGGTTCCCCAGGCAGAGCCTGCCATGGACTGCATACACACAGAGGATGCACACCTTGAAGTTGGACAATGAGGAGAACATTCCTGAAGAGGTGCATGCAGCCTGGCCCTGCCCTCACTGGGAACCCCCTTCCATCTGGGTACTAGACAGAATTCTGTGCACTTTTCTGGAGGCTCCATGCTGGTCTGTTCATTTGGAAGTTTGATGCTGTCCGTGAGGAAGTAACAAAAGAGATATCTCAGAGCAGGTTGTGGGGCACAGGCTGAGAGATTTTCTCCCTCCCTAGTCCCTCTGCAGACACGGGGCTGGAACAAGGACCTGTGGATAATGAGGGAACTTCTCTTCGAGAACCGGCCTGAGCAGCTGCTTCAAGAAAGAGCCACATTAAAGTGCCTATAGCCCCTGATGAGGGAATGGTAGCCTCAGGCCCGCCTGCCATGTGTGAGCAGGTTTTCTTGCTATCAGGATGAAAGCAAAGAAAGCTGGAATGAGCCCAGCCCTCTCAGGCACCTTGAAGACTGTTGGGGTTCCTTCCAGCCCTTCTAGCCTTATGCTTTTTGGCAGGCCACTCAGGCACCTTTTTCCAGCCTCTGAGACTTCCATGCTCTGGAAGGAGAGGGTCCCACTTTTCACTAGGCTATGGGGCCAGGCCCATCCAGCTCCCGGCTTCCACTAACAACCATGGGGCTCTCACCTGGGCACACACTGCCCAAACATGGACCTTCTAAGGCAGAAGATCATGTGTCTTGCAGTTCCAGCTTTCTAGGGCTTAAAAGTTATCAGTGCTGTTATTAAGATAGGGAAGTGAGAAAGGAAAACTTGCTGTAAAAGTTTCCCATAATCTTACCACGGAGATCTTCAGCACAGATGACTGCACAGGCAGGGCTGCTGGGGAGGCTGAGGGAGAGTGTCCAGCCTGTTCTGCCAGCTGGTCCTTGCCAGGGGTGTCTCGTGACCCAGTCCCTTAGAGAAGCATGCAGATATCTCAGCAAGTATCTGGAAGGTGCAGATCAGGGCAACCCAGCACTACTGATGGTGGAGTGGGCCTACCTCCCATCAAGCTGTGTCTCCACAGCTGACCCTTGTAACCAGGAGGTGTTTTACAACATGTGCAAGGCAGTGAGCTCCATCAGCTGTGTGGCATTCAACACTCACTTCAACTCGGACATCTCACCAGAAAGCAGTGGGGACTGGCCAATGCAGAAGCCTGCAAAGTGGAACAGAGCGTCATGGGGTGGGGGATGTGGGGCCTGCCTGCTCATCTGAGCACTGCTCCCTGAGGGTGTGATCTGCAGGCTTCCTGAAGGAGGGCTGTGAGCTCTTCTGCGAGGCCCTGAGCCTGTGGAACATAGCTGAGGCCAAGCCCATGGGGATTTGTGTCTACTTGCACCTCCTTGCTCATCTCAGTACACTACAGGTGACTGTGCCGAGGTGGGCCTTGAGCATCCCCTGGGCTGTGTCAGCAAACGGCTCTGGGCCTGGCCTGGCATTGAGGGATGGCAAAAAAGGAGCCTGGGGTTGCATTGTCATCCCCTATGGTAGCATAAAATGAGAGAGTCCAGACCTGCAGGACTGGAACCCTAACAAAGGGGTTAGGAGACTGCTCACTTTCCCTCAGGGACCCATGTGGAGGAGCTGAGGGAGGTTAAGGAGACCCTAGGGACTCACTTGTTCTGTCTGGGCTTCCCCCTGCTCCATCGTTTGATGACCATTTTCTGGGAAGAGCTCAGGAACCTCCTGTGCTCTAGTGAGATGGGGCCTCCCCTCACAGGGTATTCTGAGACTGTGAGTGAGAAGCTGACACAGTGCCTTGCAATACTCACGGGAGCTGTCATCCTCTGTGACCATCACGTGGCCTTGTAGTGTTCAGACTGCCTGGCCTGCCTGGGGTTTGGTGAGGCTGTTTTGTGGTCAGCTGCTTTAGAAGCTCACTTTCTCTGCAATCAAACAGTGACTGTTTTCATGTCTGTTTATGGGTTTAAAAAATCCTAATATTTCCTTTATAGTAGTTCACCTTGTATGTGTTTATTTGTATAAATTTTATTAGAGTAAAGAGAGCTTAAGACAATAGCATTTTAAGGTCTTAATGGGGCATAGACTTTCATGTCACAACAGCTAATGTTGACCTCCTTTTGCTGCCTTTGTGTAAATTACACATAAAAAGTGCAACCAGAGGTGACTAGAGCTGAGCTTCTTGGGCTTGCTTGCTGGCCTGCAGTCAGGTGGACTCTGGCTGTGAGGCGGTGCCCACCCTGGATCTACATCCCCCACTCTCTCTCCTTAGTCCCTGAGTAACCAACAAGGCCGTGCTAATGAGAGGGCGAGTGATCGGCATCGGGCACCCCAATACTATCCGTGAAGATTTGAATGCCATCTGGGCTGGAGCTGTTGGGATTACGGGCTGTGGCTGTCTTGGCTTGTCATGGTGCCACCCACAGATGTGCCTGCCCTGTGCTGCTTCGCCAGCAGCCGGCTGCCCATGGCCCTGAGCCTGTCACACCATGCTTGCTACCTCATGCTGCTTGTGTTTGAAAAACCCATCCGGAGATGACGCTGCTGGATGTAAGTCCTGAAAAGAGGGCATCACCTTTGTCCTGGGGGATTAGGAGCTGACCAGATTCCTCTTGACTCCCTCCCAGAACAAGTGGGGCAGGTGCTGCAATTAATGTTGCCCCCCAGAAGATGTGTTTGCACTGGCTGAGCAAATATACGATGCAGAGACCTAAATGAAGACACGTGAATGGGGTGTGTGGACATCAGTTAGTAGCTGGGAAACAGGTGCCTCTCAGGCCTCTCGTGCTCCAGCAAGTGTGGAATATGCCTGTGCCCATGAGTGTAGACATCTGGAGTGTATACATTTGGCTGCTGCTTTTGCTGCCACTATTCCCAGGCCCAACCTGGCTTAAAGTCCAGGTTTTAAGTAAAAAGTAGGAGGCTTTTTGCCACACAGCTACTTGAGAGGCTGAGGTGAAAGCATCACTGGAGCCTAAGAGATTGAGGCTGCAGTGACCCATGATTCAGCCACTGCACTGACACAGTGAGACCTGCGTGTGCCTTTCTACAGAGAATACCTCTGGGGCATTTGGGGATCCCTACAGTCCCGGACCCTCCCTGTCCCCTGCTGCCTGTGCTTCTTCCCTTGCCTGCTGTCAGAGCCTAACATGGA
Organism: Homo sapiens; assembly: GCF_000001405.40. NCBI lineage: Eukaryota > Metazoa > Chordata > Mammalia > Primates > Hominidae > Homo > Homo sapiens. The sequence goes on from NW_021160026.1 coordinate 220,212, forward strand.
GGCGGTTGCCGCCCTGTGAGCCTGAGGGAGCTGTGTCTGACTGGAACTTCTGTCTGGGGTTTTGCGAAGACCTACTTATGAATATGGTCTGTCCAGATACCTTGTTTCAAAGGAAGTGAACATGAGCTAGCAAGTGTAGCCACCCCACAGCTGATAAACAACTTTGTCTTGTTTTTAAATCATCAATCTTCATTTCACATTGGAATAAAGTAAGTGAAACCTGCTACCCCAGCCTCTCCCGTGTGTTCTGTAGCCCAGACTCATGTGGTTGTGTGGGCTGTTGTCAGAAATGTTATTAAAAGGTTATGCATAAATTAGATCAAATATAAAATTATGCTTATAATGTCACTTGATTGGGAGGTAAGAGGGTAGAGTCACAGGAAATCTGTTGGGGTTTACACCCCTGCTACTTACCAAGCTCATAAGAGTGTGGCACTGGTGACCATCACCTGACATTGGTGACAGAAGAGAAAAGGCCGAAGTGAAGGCCAGGTAGGAGAGAGGTGCCACGCTGTGGGGCCAGGCCCTGCGCATGCTGGGCCTGTTAGGTCACTGAACATCTAACTACCCGGGAACCAGCTCTTTTCACATCATTTGAGGTAAGACGATGGGGGAGCACTCTCCAGAAGTCACACTGCGCTGGGAGAATGGAGGAGAGTCTACATCCCGCCTTCTTAGGGTAGGTTTTAGATTGAGCTGGACTGTCTTGGAGAGCTAATGAGATGGGAGGAAGACAGTCCCCCAGGTGCACCTGACAGCCAGAGCCTATGAAGTTAGGGGGGTTGTGTGGGGGTGGCCTGTCCCTATAAGAGGAGGAGCTTAAAGCTCTTAAAGCTGGTGGCTGCTGCTCTGCCATCCCTCTACAGAGCAGGCAAGTCCTCAGCTGCACGAATATCTGAATGTCTTTTGGAGTGTTAGAGTCCTCTGTGTCTTAGAAATTTTGAAAAGAAAAACAAATCTCAATTTTAATGTTGATTAGTTTCTCTGAGCCAATTGGGAAAAAAAACGTCCTTCACCTCAAAGGTTTAAGTGACACCGAAGGGTAGCCACCAGTGTCTCGGCCACTGAAGCCTCATGCACGCTCTCACTACCAGTTTGATTTGCAGCCCCATAGTTGTGTTGTACTAAATATTCTTTCCTCTGGCCTTGTCCAGTGAACACGGTTCACATGGCTAACACCACTTCTTGAGATGCGAGCACCATGCAAAGCTGAGAACGGATTGGGTTTTGTGACCATTGTGCCTCCTCCTCACCTGAGAGGCCCATTTTCCCTGGTTGATTCATTAAGTGTATTAGTGCTGTCAGTCGCCTCTGGACAATTGAAATGACAAGTGGCTGCTGATTCATAAAGAAAATGGAGGCTTTAGATGTGACACCCTCGTTTTCTCTTGTCCTTCTCTTAGGTGAAAGATTTTATTTTTTTCAAAAGGCTACATACTGGTATCCCAGCAGGTGGAATGTAAGAAGGGGCATTTGTTGGGCTATGGTATCAGTGTGGATGGGCAATTCTTCAAGATGGAAAACCAAGTCTCACTGAGTTGCTGGAGCCATAGTCACCTTTCTCCACATCCCCCACCATGGGCTTTCACTTTTCTCCTGTGCTTGAATTTTTTTCACATACAAATTTTTATACACACACACACACGTCACACTCTGTCAGTGCATGGGCTGAATCTTGGTTCACTTCAGCCTCAAACTCTTAGGCTCCAGTGATGCTTTCACCTCAGCCTCTCAAGTAGCTGGGACTACAGGCATGCAAAGCTACGCCCAGGCAATTTTTAAATATTTTTCTAGAGACTGAGCCTACTTATGTTGCCCAGACACGTCTTGAACTCCTGGGATCAAGCGATCATCCCACCTTGGCCACCCAAAGTGTTTAGATTACAGGTCTGAGCTACCACTCTCAGCAAAAATATATTTTAAAGAACCGTTACAACCAAATTATGAGTTATGATTATACCACTGCCCTCCAGCCTGGGCACCAGAGCAAGACCTTGTATCCAAAAACTAAGCAAAACTAAACAAGAACAAAAAAAAACCTTATAAACAAATTAAATTTTAAGATTATGTCATCTGTGTCCTTCCCTGCCCTCCAAGCTATCAATGTTAAATATAATGGTTATTGAGAAAATGGTTAGATATTATTAAGAAATTTCTATATATCTTCCAGCTGAGAATAGGTATTCTGATGTGGCCCAAATATTTTCTCACCACTACCTTCAGGGTCTCAACTAGCAAATCAGGACACCTGCAGAGGACAGTTGGCCGTTTTCAAATAGAAAGAGAAATACCCCCGTTCATGAGAGTAATCCAGTGATTTTCAAAAAGACAAGTCAGACTGACATGCAGCGCAGTCAGGCCACAATTACCCTGGAATAATCACTTCACACAGAATGGTTGAGGAGACTTTCTAAGATGAGCAAATTTGGGCAGCATAATCCTTGCTTATTTATTCCCGGCCCCCGCTGCCCACCTGATTCCTAATGGCCACCCTACAATGTGGTCAGCAGTGGGATGTAGCGTGGTGACAGAGGGGCTCAGGGATGGGATGGAGGTCTTTCCTGCATTATCAAAATGCAGGTTAAAAAGTTGTTAAAAAGATGTCCAAATGTTCTAATTCCTACTGTTAAATAGCTGCTAAGATGCATTATACAACAGACCCAGGTAAGGGAAGGAGCATGTGCATTTCAAGTCTCAGCTCACGTCTTAATTAGCTGTGATACTCTGGGCATGTGACCCCAACTATACGAGCCTGTTTGCCTGTCAACCCAAAACAATCCTAAACAAAAACACCAAAGCTTGAGGCATCCTGCTACCCGACTTCAAACTATACTACAAGGCTGCAGTAACCAAAACAGCACAGTACTGATACCAAAACAGATATATAGACCAATGGAACAGAACAGAGGCCTCAGTAATAACATCACACATCTACAACCATCTTATCTCTAACAAACCTGACAAAAACAAGCAATGGAGAAAGATTTCCTACTTACCAAATGGTGCTGAAAGAACTGGCTAGCCACATTCAGAAAACAGAAACTGGACCCCTTCCTTACACCTTATACAAACATTATCTCAAGATGGATTAAAGTCTTAAATATAAAACACCAAACCACAAAAACCCTAGAAGAAAACCTAGGCAATACCATTCAGGACATAGGCATGAGCAAAGACTTCAGGAATAAAATACCAAAAGCAATCACAACAAAAGCTAAAATTGACAAATGAGATCTAATTAAACTAACGAGCTTCTGCACAGCAAAAGAATCTATCATCAGAGTGACCAGGCAACCTATAGAATGACAGAAAATTTTTGCACTCTATCCATGTGTCAGAGGTCTAATATCCAGAATCTACAAGGAACTTAAATTCACACACAAACACAAAAAAAAACATCAAAAAGTGAGTAAAGAATATGAACAGACTATTCTCAAAAGAAGACATTTGGCTGGGCGTGGTTGATCAAGCCTGTAATCCCAGGACTTTCAGCCATGGAGGCAGGTGGATCATGAGGTCAGGTATTCAAGACTAGCCTGGGCAACATGGTGAAACCATGTCTCTACTAAAAACACAAAAAATTAGCATGGTGTTTTGGCGGGTGGCTGCAATTCCAGCTTCTTGGGAGGATAAGGCAGGAGAATCACTTGAACCTGGGTGGCAGATGTTGCAGTGAGCTGAGATCCTGCCACTGCACTCCAGCCTGGGTGACAGAGCAAGATTCCGTCTTAAAAATAATAATAAATAAAATAAATAAAAAGAAAAGGGAGAAGGAGAAGAAGAAGAAGAAGAAGAAGAAGAAGGAAGAAGAAGAAGAAGAAGAAGAAGAAGAAGAAGAAGAAGAAGAAGAAGAAGAAGAGGAGGAGGACATTTATGTGGTCAAGAAACACACAAAAAGGAAAAAGAAAAAAGCTCATCATCACTGATGATTAGAGAAATGCAAATCAAAACCACAATGGGATACCATCTCACACCATTTGGAATGGCAGTTATTAAAATGTCAGGAACAACAGATGCTGGTGAGGCTGTGGAGAAATAGAAACGCTTTTACACTGCTGGGGGCGGGGGTGTAAATTACTTCAACCATTATGGAAGACAGTGTGGTGATTCCCTAAGTATCTAGAACCAGAAATACCATTTGACCCAGCAATCTTATTACTGGGTATATACCCAAAGGAATATAAATCATTCTAGCATAAAGACACATGCACTCATATATCTATTGCAACACTGTTTACAATAACAAAGACTTGGAACCAACTTAATGCCCATTATTGATAGACTGGAAAAAGAAAATGTGGCACATATACACCATGAAATAATATTCAGCCATAAAAAGAATGAGTTCATGTCCTTTGCAGGGACGTGAATGACGCTGGAAACCATTCTCTTCAGCAAACTAACACGGGAACACGAAACAAAACACCATATGTTCTCACTCATATGTGGGAGTTGAACAATGAGAACACATGGACACCGGGAACAAAACATCACACACTGGGGCCTGTTAGGGTGTTGAGGTCAAGGGGAGGGAGAAAATTAGGACAAATACGTAATGCATATGGGGCTTAAATCCTAGACGTCAGGTTGATAGAAGCAGCAAACCACCATGGCACATGTAAAACTATGTAACAAACCTGCACGTTCTGCACATGTATTCCAGAACTTAAAGTAAAACAAACTAACAAAAATGCACTAAGGCTGAGGGGGAGTGGGGGTAGGGGCAGGAGTCAGGCGGGGGTGGGTGAGTCCTGGAGTTTTATCCAATCATTGACACTGATGTGGGAACCGCCCAATCAGGCGCGCAGTTGGAGAGGACAGGAGAGGAGGGCGTGGCTTCCGGCGTTTGGCGGGGTCTTTGTCTCTCGCTGGCGCTGGCACAGGAACTTGGGATCCGTCTCCTCTTTCGCCTCCTCCACTTTGGGAGCCCCGGGCTACTCTTTCACAGCCCCTGTTGCCCTGTGATCTGTAGGTCCTTGGGGACGCACAGTTAAGATGACAGGACATCCTGGAAGCTGGGAAATGGTGAGTATACGGGGTTCGGCATCCCGAGAGGGGAGAGCAGGCTGTGAAACCGGCAGGACCGGCCTCCCCACGGTTAGCTCCGAGTCTCCCGCAGCTTGGCCCTCAGTCCCCTGTGGCTGCAAGATGGCCGCTGGGCCAGCATCGAGGACCCCCACATCCGGCCTGGCCCATCCGGTCCTGTCCCTGGGCAGCGCCCTGCTCTGCGCCCACAGCCATGAGTATTTCCCAGATTGTTCAGGGAGGCCTGGTGGGTCATCAGGGAAAAACTGCCACTGGGTGTTTGCGTGGGAGGAGCTGCGGCCCATGGGGTCCCCAGTCTCTCTTGTTAAAAATTAAGGGGAGTCTATGTTAAAACGTTAACCAGTTTATCTGAACAAAGAGTGATTGGTGAAATGGAAAGCACCCAGCCATGATTTCTGGTCCACCAGAGGGGCATAAAGGAAAGGCTTTCATAAGATGCATGAGAAAGCAGCCCAAATTCAAAAATTGGTTCCAGTTATGTAGTCACCTTATTTGAACTATCCAGATGGAAATGTCCTGGTTACATATTCAGAGGTTAATTGCATGTTTGCCATTGGTTAAACGTGCATTTTGTTTCAGGCTAAGATAATGGTTTATAGGAAATGTATTTGAGTTAGGTTTTAGTTTTTTTTTTTTTTTTTTTAACCTATGAACCCAGGACACTAGAGCCACTTTAGTCTAATTTTCTGCTCTTTAATTATTTTAACTCTCCAGAGGAGGACTGGTTTTCTCCTGTGTTTTTTTTACTATATGGCAAGTGGAACCTCTAATCGACCACCCTGTTTTTCAGCCTAACTCAGGCTTGCGGTAAAATTATCAGTTCCCACTTTCTTTGCTGCATTCTCAAATGCAACACAGGAGAACAGCTTTCCCTTGCCAATTTACAATGCTGTTAACTATTTGTCCTTTATTATACATTTCATTAAAGTTTTCTATTATTGGATTTCTTTCTACTTCTCCCTACAGTTCTGCCCGTATTTTCTTTTTATATTTAGAAGCCTCCCTTTTGGGTGCATAAATATATATAGCTATATTCACTTGACAAATTAACCTCTATTATTATTGTATGGTAAACTCATTTCATGCTTGTGAGAGACATTGCTAGAAAGTCTATTTTGTCTAATTTAAGCATAACTACCATTGGACTCCTTTGGCTATTATTTGCATGGAATATCATTTTCTATCCTTTCACTTTTAGCCTATGCTCTTAATTCATAATTGAGTCTCTTGTAAGCAGCAGATTACGAGGTTTAAAAGTTTCATTTATCCACTCTATCTGCTTTAGTCTCTTTTGACTGTTATAACAGAATATCACAGACTGGTAATTAATAAAGAAAAGAATTTTATTTGACTCATGATTCTGGAGTCTGGGAAGGTAAAAGAACATGTTACTGGTATCTGTTGAAGGTCTAGTTGCTGGATAATAACATGGCCAAAGATGTGAGGGAGAGAGAGCTTTTTTTTTTTTTAATATATAACAGATCCATTCTTGTTAAAATTAGCCCATTCCCATAATAAGAACATTAATCCATTCATGAGGGCAGAGTGCTTATAGCTTAATTAATTTTTAAAGGTTCCACCTCTTAATTCTATCACATTGGCTATTTTATCCTAAATTTTGGAGATGACATTCAGTCTACAGAAGTATCTGTTTAGTAGATAATTTAATCTTTTTATTTGTAAGGTAGTGATAGGTAAGCAGTTACTATTGTACATTTGTAGTTTTCTGTCCATTTTAAGTTTGCTTCTTTTTTTTCTGGTTCTGTCTTTCCTGTGGTATTGTTCATTTTTGTTGAGACAAAGTTATGCTTTCTTGCTCAGACTGAAGTTCAGTGGCATATCACAGCTCACTGTAGCCTCAATCTCCTGGGCTCAAGCAATCCTCCCCCCTTAGCCACCCAAGTAGCTTGGACTACTTGGACACGTACCACAACACCCAAGGAGCTTATGATTCTTCCACCTTGGCCTCCAAAAGTGTTGGAATTATAAGCAGGAGCCACTGTATCCAATGTGTAATTTTTGTTGTTTGTGTATGCTTTAATTACTTTCTCTTTTTCTTTACTATGTTTTTTTTTCCCCCAGTGGTTATCATGAGACTTATGTAAAACCTCTTGTATTTTAATAGTCTAGTTTAAGATGATAACAATTTAGAGTATTCTGAATTTCAGTATGTATTTACCATTTTTAGTGACATTTATACTTTAGTATTTTTCATATTGTTAGTTAGCATTTCATCATATCAATGTGAAGATTTCTTCCAGACCTTGGCTGGAGAAGGAAAGAAGGTGTGTTTTGCCTGATTCAGGGACTATAGAGAGAACCAAGTTCTGCAGGCCTGTCACCTAAGTCTCAGATGAGTATGAATTCTTTTGTGTTTTTCACAGATTTTTGCAGTGGCAGGACCAAGTTCAAATGAGTCATAGCCAAGTTTACAGTAAGATGTGGTAGTATTCTGTTTTGAACCGAGGACCATGATTGGCAAGCTTGCCACTTGGTCAAGTGCTTACCCTCTAAAGATGTCTTCCTTGGTCTTTGCCTCCAGCTGGGTGTCACAAACTCTGAACTGGATTCTAAGGCTTTCATGAATGCACTTATGTTTCCCGTGGCAGCTGCATTATGTTGTGGGGGATGTGCATGCCGAACCTCCCATTCTGTCGTCTTGCTTATGTTACTCTCCTTTATGTTTCACTTTCTCAAATGAATGTCAAGCTGGTGATTTTTAGATTCAAAAATTCTAAAATAAATTGCTCAAATTTCCACATTATGTAAGCTATTAATAAAATGTCTTGTAGGTGCTACATATTTATTAAAATTTTTGGTTGTAATTTTAAGCTCACTGCAGGCAGAAAGGAATCATTAACATTTATATTCTTTTTTTTAGTCTGTATCTAAATGATGGTATATTTTAATTCCAGATATTTACTTTATACTGCAGTAATGCTCGTCATATTTTGCAAAATTTATGTTGTTCTTTTATTTGGAAATATAAGGCTTTTTTAGCTCTTGAAATCTATATTATAGTCATATAATTTTATTATGTTTTGTGGTAAGAAGTGCAGCAACATATTGAGAACATAATAAAATTATCCTGTATTTTTAATGATTATTTATTAAATTCCTCTCATTAGAGCCTGTTATTAATGATTGTAATGTATTTTCTATATAATTTTACTGCAATTTATTAAATTCTAATGACTTAAATTGTCTGCTTTTCATGAGTGCACACAGTTGAATGCTGTAGATATCTAAAGAATTATTTTTCGGCCGGTTGTGGTGGCTCATGCCTGTATTCCCAGCACCTTGGGAGGCCAAGGCGGGTGGATCACGAGGTCAGGAGATCGAGACAACCCTGACTAACATGGTGAAACCCCGTCTCTACTAAATATACAAAAAATTAGCCGGGCATAGTGGCAGGCGCCTGTATCCCCAGCTACTCAGGAGGCTGAGGCAGGAGAATGGCGTGAACTCAGTGGACAGAGTTTGCAGTGAGCCGAGATCGCGCCACTGCACTCCAGCCTGGGCAACAGGGCAAGACTCTGTCTCAAAAAAAAAAATAAAAAAAAAAACGGTTATTTTCCATTGTAAATCTATGTTGTATTCAGGATTTTATGCACGAAAATCTCTCTTCTTATTTTCAAGTCCGTGTTATTGTGTTTCTTTTCTTGGGAGTTATGTTTTCTCAGATCAGTTAAATGTATTTTTATTTTAAAGCTTGATATCATCAGTTGAAAGATAATTTTTAGCTCGGTACACTTTATCTCAATGTGATGTTTAATATATGTGTGAATTAGCTGTGTTTGTTGCTTATAGATATATCTGTATGTTTTTCACTTATGTAAGTATGACATCTTTTTCCTTGTTTTTTTGTTTTTTTCTTTTCAGTTTCAGATAGGCTTTTTTTTTTTTAAGAGAATTTTAAAACAGAGTCGAAAGAAGAGAAATCAGTTATTTGTCCTCTTGCAGGGTGGGGAGACAACTTCCTTCCCCACAGGTTTGAGGCTATGCCTAAGTGGTGAGTCTTGAGGAGATGCAGAAAGGATCCATCCCAGGCACTTGGCTGGACTTAAGTAAGCATAGCCTTTAGGCCACAAGACCTGATGGTTTGGGTACTGGTCTGGACATAAGTCCCCATCTTCCCAGAAATATCATCTTTTGTCTGCAACAACTGGCTGGAGAAATATTTCAGAAAGATGTGTGTCTGGAACACCCAAAGACATACTTTTCCTTTCTCCTTGGCATAGGCCTTGCAGCACTGAAGAAAGACCAGGTTTGCAATGGAGCCTTCAACAGTCTTCATCCCTATGGAACTCAGGGTCTCATAGGGTGACAGGAGAGGAGACAAAGCTAACTTGGGAAGAGTCTCTGTCCTTCAGCTTCTCCCCTACTGAAACACTATATATTGGGCCCACAGTTCATCACAAAACACACATGCTCTCTTTCTTTCTCTCACACCCAATCTTGGGAACCCAAAAACTTGATGGCAGGTAGCTCTGGGTATCCTTGGTCTGGCATTCACCCACTGGGAATCTAAGCTGTCCTAAAGCTCTTTTCAATCACTTCTCACTGTTTCCAGGCCCATGTGGGTAGGTGTTCCAGGCTTCATTCTTTCAGGCTGATCATAAAGGCACAGTGTGGGAAAATCCCCTACTGTGATGGCCATTGCTGGGAAGCAGGAAAGGCTAAGGGCCCACTGCTGCCCAAGGCTAGTATAGATGCCCTCTGCTCCACTCATGTCCTCAAAGACTGATATCAGGTGCAGCAGCTGCTGTCTGGAATGTTATCAAACCAGGACTGCACAGGCACTGCATTCTCTGTGTGGAAGACGTAAGAAGCAGGCGAGTTGTCCAGGATGAGAGTTTTCCTCAGGTCCCTCCCCAGATGGCTGAGGTCATTGACATAGCAGCCCTGGTGGAACAAACGTGACTCATGGGCTAGGCAACCCCAGAACACCTCACACTGGTCCAGCACACCCATCACAATGTGTCTGGAATTGGTGGGTTCTTGTTCTCACTGACTTCAAGAATGAAGCCACAGACCCTCACGGTGAGTGTTACAGTTCTTAAAGGTGGCATGTCTGGAGTTTGTTCCTTCTGACATTCGGATGTGTTGAGAGTTTCTTCCCTCTGGTGGGCTCGTGGTCTCGCTGGCTCAGGAGTGAAGCTGCAGACGTTCGCGGTGAGTGTTACAGCTCTTAAGGTGGCACATCTGGAGTTGTTCATTCCTCCAGGTGGGTTCGTGGTCTCGCTGGCTTCAGGAGTGAAGTTGTGGACCTTCACAGTGAGTGTTACAGCTCATAAAGGCATTGTGGACCCAAAGAGTGAGCAGCAGCAATATTTATTGCAAAGAGCAAAAGAACAAAGCTTCCACAGTGTGGAAGGGGACCCGAGTGGGTTGCCACTGCTGGCTGGGGCAGCCTACTTTTATTCCCTTATCTGGCCCCACCCACATCTTGCTGATTGTTAGAGCCGAGTGGTCTTTTTTCACAGGGCGCTGATTGGTGTGTTTACAATCCCTGAGCTAGACACAAAGGTTCTCCACATCCCCACCAGTGTAGCTAGATACAGAGTGTTGATTGGTGCATTCACAAACCCTGAGCTAGACACAGGGTGCTGATTGGCATGTTTACAAACCTTGAGCTAGATACAGAGTGCCGATTGGTGTATTTACAATCCCTGAGCTAGACACAAAGTTTCTCCACGTCCCTACCAGACTCAGGAGCCCAGCTGGCTTCACCCAGTGGATCCCCCACAGGGTCTGCAGGTGTAGCTGCCTGCCAGTCTGGCACTGTGCACCCGCACTTCTCAGCCCTTGGGTGGTTGATGGGACTGGGTGCCGTGGAGCAGGGGGCGACACTCATCCAGGAGGCTTGGGCACACAGGAGCCCACCGATGGGGGGGAGGCTCAGGCATGGCGGGCTGCAGGACCCAAGCCCTGCCCTGTGGGATGGCAGCTAAGGCCCAGCGACAAATTGAGCACAGCAGCTGCTGGCCGAGGTGTTAAGCCCCTCACTGCCTGGGGCCGGTGGGGCCAGCCGGCGGCTCCGAGTGTGGGGTCCGCCGAGCTCGCGCTGGCCTTCAAGCACTGCACGCCGCCCTGGTTCCCACACGCACCTCTCCCTCCACACCTCGTCGCAAGCTGAGGGAGCCGGCTCCGACCTTGGCCAGCCCAGAAAGGGGCTCCCACAGTGCAGCGACAGGCTGAAGGGCTCCTAAAGTGCCGCCAAAGTTGGAGCCCAGGCAGAGGAGGCCCGGAGAGTGAGCAAGGGTTGTGAGGACTGCCAGCACGCTGTCACCTCTCAACAGGATCTGCATACTTGTTCAGTCTGGAATGAAGAGAGCAATGAAGAAAACACATTTAAACAGTTCCTCCAGTCATCTCAGGAACTCATCCATATAAGGCCTCATGGTCCCCTCAATCTTTACAGTCACTAGGCAGTCAGCATTGCTGATTGGCTTAATGGAGCTATGCACAAGGGTTTCATCCATGTCAGTGACCATACAGATCGTTCCTTGATTTTTCTCTGTCACCTCTGGGAGCAGGCAGGTCCCTGGGATCTGATAAAACTGATACTGGAGACACTTGAGCTGATCCGACTTAGCAATGGTGTTGACTCCCTCCTTATGTGTGGAGAACTCAGTGGGGGAACTTGACTTGCCAACATGCTGGGTGCAAGAACAGCAGAAAGGTACCTTCTAAGATGTCACAAACATGAGGCCTCTTCGGAGAGCACTTTGGAAACCAGGCCTTGCTTGCTAAGGACCAGGGCATCTTCCCTCCATGCCTGGGTGGTGATGGAGCCTGGTTCCATCTAACAATCCTGAGGGCTCGGCTGGCTGGGTGGGAAGACAGCGGGCACGTTGGCTGGACTGGGCTGGGGGGCATGGGCTGGGGCCTGATTCAGTTCCCGAGAGTCTGACTTCCACAGCTGTTCACATACCCCTTCTCCTTTCCATCACAGGCCGGGAAGAGAGGCGGCCTGTAGGGACGGTGGATGGCCTTGGCAGCAGCTCCCCAGGGTGCCCCCAGCCCCAAATCCCCCAGCAGGAGCTTCAGGATCTTCAGTTTGGGTCTAACCTAGGGAATCCACCTCATACTCATGTTTTTTCAAGTTTTATTTTAAGTTCAGTGGTCCATATGTGATAAGCTTTTTTTTCAACTTTTATTTTAAGTTTAGGGGTCCATGTGCAGGATATGCAGGTCTCTTACATAGATAAACGTGTGCCATTGTGCTTTACTGCACAGATCATCTCATCACCCAGGTACTAAGCCCAGCATCCGCAGCTATTCTTCCTGCTGCTCTCCTTCCCCTCCCCCATGCCATGAAACAGGTGTCCAGTGTGTGTTGTTCTTCCTGATGTGTCCATGTGTTCTCATTGATCTGCTTCTGCTAATAAGTTAGAATAATAATAGGTGGTGTTTGGTTTTCTGTTCCTGCATTAGTTTGCTGGGAGTAATGGCTTCAAATTCCAACCATGTCCCTGCAAAGGACATCATCTCATTACATTTTATGGCTTCATAGTGTTCCATGGTGTATGTGTACCACATTTTCTTTATCCAGTATATCATTGATGGGCATGTAGATTGATTACATGACGTTGCTATTGTAAATATTGCTGCAATGAACATATGTATACATGTTTATTTAAAATAGATTTATATTCCTTTGGGTGTATGCCCAGTAATAGTATTGCTGGGTCAAATGGTATTTCTGCTTCTAGGTCTTTGAGGAATCTCCACACTCTCTTCCACAATGCTTGAAATAATTTACAATCCCACCAACAGTGTAAAAGTGTTCCCTTTTCTCCACAACCTCACCAGCATCTGTTTTTATTTCTTTTTTACTTTTTATTAATAGACATTGTAATTGGTGTGAGATGGTATCTCATTGTTGTTTTGATGTGTATTTATCCAGTTATCAGTGATGTTGAGCTTTCCATGTTTGTTGGGCACATGTATGTCTTCTTTTGAGATATGTCTGTTCATGTCCTTTGACCACTTTTTAATGGGGTTGTTTGTTTTTCTCTTGTAAATTTTAAGTCCCTCATAGATTCTGGGTATTAGATATTTGTCAGATGAATAGGTTGCAAAATTTTTCTCCCATTCTCTAGCTTCTCTGCTCTGATGATAGCTTCTTTGGCTCTGTGGAATCTCTTTAGTTTAATTAGACCCCATTAGTCAATTTTTGCTTTTGTTGCTATTTCTTTTGGTCTTTTTGTCATCAAATCTTTCCTCATGACTATATCCTGAATGGTATTTTCTAGATTTTTTCTTCTAAGGTTTTTATAGTTTTGGGTTTTACATTCAAGTCTTTAATCCATCTTGAGTCAATTTTTGTCTATGGTGTTAGGAAGGGTTCCAGTCTTAATTCTCTGCACATGACTAGCCAGTTATCCTAGCACTATTTATTGAATAGGGAGACTTTTCCCTAATTCCTTGTTTTTGTTGACTTTGTCAAAGATCAGTTTGTTGTAGGTTTTTGGCTTTATTTCTATGCTCTCTATTTTGTTTCATTTGTCTATGTGTCTGTTTCTATACCAGTACCATGCTGTTTTTGTTACTGTACTCTTCTAGTACAGTTTGAAGTTAGGCAATGACCCTTTCAGCTTTTTTTTTTTTTTTTTTCTTAAGGTTGGCTTGGCTATTTGGGCTCTTTTTTGGTTCCATTTTAATTTTAAAAAGTTTTTTTTTTCTAATTATCTGAAGAATGTCAGTAGTTCAATGGGAACAGCATTGAATCTATAAATTACTTAGGGCAATATGCTCATATTCGTGGTACTGATTCTTTCTCTCCGTGAGCATGGAATGTTTCTCCATTTGTTTTGTGTCCACTCTGATTCCTCTGAGTAGTTGTTTGTAGTTCTCCTTGAAGATATCCTTCACTTTCCTTCTTAGCTGTATTCCTTGGTATTTTTTTCTCTTTATAGCAAATGTGAATGAAAGTTCATTCATGATTTGTCTCCCTGCTTGCCTGTTGCTTGTGTATGGGAATGCTAGCTACTTTTGCAGATTGATTTTATATCCTGAGATTTTGCTACTGCTGCTTATCACCTTAAGAAGCTTTGGGGCTGAGACGAAGAGGCTTTCTAGATATAGGGTCAGGTCATCTGTAAACAAAGATAATTTGACTTTCTCTCTTTCTATTTGAATACTGTTTATTTCTTCCTCTGGCCTGATTTTCCTGGACAAGTTTTCCGAATGGGAGTTGTAATGCGAGTGGTGAGAGAGAGCATACTTTTCTTGTGCCGGTTTTCAGGGGGAATGTTTCCAGCTTTTGCATATTCAGTATGATATTGGCTGTGGGTTTGTTGTATATGGCTCTTCTTATTTTGAGGTATGTTTCTTCAGTTCCTAATTTATTGAGAATTTTAAACGTGAAGGAATGTTGAATTTTATTGGGTGCTTTTTCTGCATCTATTGAGGTAATCATGTGGTTTTTTTATTTAGTTTTCTTTATGTGATGAGTCACATTTGTTGATTTGCATATGTTGAATCAACCTTGCATCCTGGAGACAAAGCCAATTCCATTGTGGTGGATGCACTTTTTAATGTGCTGCTGGGTTTGGTTTGCCAGTATTTTATTGAGGATGTTTGCACAGTGTTCATCAAAGACATTGGCATGATGTGTTGTTGTTGTTGTTGTTGTATCTATGTTAGGTTTTGGTATCAGGATGATGCTGGCCTGATAGAATGAGTTAGACAGAACTTCTTTGTCTTCAATTTTTTTTGGATAGTTTTAGGAGAAAATGTACTATCTCCTCTTTACCTCAAGTCAAATTCAGCTTGCTTGGTAGGCTAGTTCTTACTGTCTCAATTTCAGAACACATTATTGATCTATTCAGGGTTCAGTCTTGTAGAGAGTTTATTTTGCAAGGAAATTGTCCATTTCTTCTAGATTTTCTGGTTTATGAGCATAGAGGTGTTTATAGTATTCTCTGATCGTTGTTCTTATTTCCATGGGATCAGTGATGATATCTCCCTTATTATTTCTATTTGTGTTTGGTTCTTTCTTTTCTTATTTATTTGCCTAACTAGTGTTCCATCTAGTTTATAAATTTTTTTTTTTTTCATAAAAACAGCTCCTGGATTGGTTGAGTTTTTTTTTTTTTTTTTGGAAGAGTTCTCAGTGTCTCTATCTCCTTCAGCTCTACTCTGATCTTGGCTATTTCTTATCTTCTGCTAGCTTTCAGGTTTGTTTTCACTTGGTTTTCTTGTTCTTTTAACCAAGATGTTAGGCTGTTAACTTTAGATCTTTCTAATTTTTTTTTTTCTTGTGGGAGAGTTTCACTCTGTCACCCAGGCTGGAGTACAGTGGCATAATCTCGGCTCACTGCAACCTCCACTTCTCGGTTTTAAGTCACTTCTGCTGTCTCAGCCTCCTGAGTAGCTGGGATTACAGATGTGAATCACCACACCTAGCTAATTTTTGTATTTTTTTGTAGAGATATGGTTTTGCTGTTGGCCAGGCTGGTCCTGAACACCTGGTCTCAAGTGATCTGCCTACCCCAGCCTCCCAAAGTGCTGGAATTACAGGCATGAGCCACCATGACCGGCCCTTTCTAGCTTTTTGATGTGGACATTAGTGCTATAAATTTCCCTCTTTTCTTGGTTTCTAGTGATTATTTTATTCTATCTTGGTGAGTAGTCAGGGAAATAATCTTAAATTTACAATCAACTTATAGTTTAAATCTAAATAATTAAGTGAGAAGAACCCTTTGTTATTTGAAGGGGATGTTTGAAGATTTTGTAACCGTGCCTTTTAGGTAGTCCTAAATTTCTAATTGTAGTTAAAAACATGCCATTTTCATTTCTAACATTTTAAGTATATGGTTTAGAAGTGGTAAGTATAGTTCTATTTTTTTTTGCAATAGGTTTTAGATAATTTTTGTCTTACAAAAGTAAAAGTGAATACTCATTAATTCTGAAACAAGTTAGTTAGCTTGCTTTAGTTAGATAGCAAGAGAAGGGTCCCTGGAAAGTCCCTGGCCCTTGGGTCAGTGTCTCATCCCTGCATAATATAAAAGGAATCCTGGAAAAAATCAAGCTGCAGACACTAACAAGGTAACTAGCACATGGTGTTGTGCTTGGAGACCTGCCCATGGCTGCACAGACAGAAAAACCTCTGGCATATTTGGATAAAAACTTGTACAAACCTCCAGCTCACTGAGATAAGGGAACAAGACCGACCTGGCATAGAAATGCCTTTGTTTGTCCAGGCACAGTGGCTCATGCCCGTAATTCCAGCAATTTGGGAGGCAGAAGTGGGCGGATCACCTGAGGTCGGGAGTTCGAGACCAGCATGACCAACATGGAGAAAAATACAAAATTAGCCGGGCATGGTGCCTCATGCCTGTAATCCCAGCTACTTGGGAGGCTGAGGCAGGAGAATCACTTAAACCCAGGTGGCGGAGTTTGCTGTGGGCCGAGATCGCACCATTGCACTCCAGCCTGGGCAACAAGAGCAAAACTACGTCTCAAAATAAATAAATTAATAAATAATAAGAAAGTACATCTCAAAAACAAAAATGAAAGAAAGAAAGAAAAGAAAAAGAAAAAAAGAAACGCCTTTGTACTTTGTGCAGTCAGTGGGCTCCCAGGAAAATGTTTCTTCTCCTTTTGTGGGCATAAGCACAGTGGGCTCTGGTGCATTCCGGTCGACACTCTCCTTTATTTGGACTGTAAGTCAGACCTCTGTGAATAATTACTTCAGCCCCTGATTGCTCCCGGGACAAGCTCCTGCGCCAAGCTTTCACTTTAGCTTCTGATAAGTCCTGGGCCAATCTAAATAGCATCTATGAATCATCCCTTCAGCTCCTGATTGGTCCCGGGTCAAAGTCCTGGGCCAAGCTGAGCCACACTTTTTTCAAGACAGCCTGTTAACTAGGCACATTTCCTTCTCTTCCTTTCCCAGTCCATAAAAACCTTGGGCCCCAGCCTCACAGAGGTCACCCCATTCAGAAACTATCTCTGCTGGCAAAGAGCTTTCTTCTCTTGCTTATCAAACTTTCACTCTAACCTCACCTTTGTGTTCACGCTCCTTAATCTCCCTAGAAGTAGAACAAAGAACTTTCGATGCTATCTCAGACTATGAGAGACTGTTACATCTTGGTGCACTGCTGAGACTACAACACTTGGTTTCTTTGAGTTTGACTAAATATTTTACATAGGTGTAATTATACAGTTTTCCTTTTTGACTGTCTTGTTTTACTTAACAGAATGTTTTCGAGATTTGTCCTTATTGTAGTACTTTTCAAGATTTCCTTATTTTTAAGGCTGAATGCTATCCAGTGAATATACGTGCCCTGTTTGTTGAATCTACTCATCCTTAAAGGTACATTTGCTTCCAGGTAGTATGTTTGTGAGTAATGCTACAGTGTACATAAATGTGCATATATCTATTCCATGTTCTGCTTTGCCTGTTTGGGATATTTTTCACACACTGATTTAGTACCATGTGTATTCCCTTGCTTTTGTTGTCTGATTCGTTGATGTTACATCCCCCAAATTATTGCCGAGACCAATTGTCATGAAGCTTCACCCTTCTGTATTGTGCTAGGAATTTTACAGCTATAGATTTTACATTATAGTCTTCATATTTTAAAATTGACACATGTAATTGTACAAATTTTGGGGAAACAATTATGTATATATGTTGTATAGCAATAAAAATCAGAGTACTTAGTGTAATTATTGCCTCATACATTTGTTATTTTTGTGGTGAGAACATTCAAAAGCTTCTTCTCTAGCTATTTTTTTATATCTTTATATATTAACTTTTTTTAGAGACAGGATCTTGCTCTAACACACAGATTGGAGTGCAGTGGTGCAATCCTAGCTCACTGTAACCTCAAACAATCTTCTAACCTCAGCTTCCCAATTAGCTGAGACTACAGGAACCTGCCTCCATGCCTGGATAATGTTTTAATTTTTCATAGAGACAGGGTCACACTATGTTGTCCAGGCTCATCTTGAACTTCTGACATCAAGTGATTCTCCTACCTCATTCTCCCAAAATGTATGGATGGCAGGAATGTGCCACCACAACTGGTCTCTTTTAGCTATTTTGTAATTTGAGATAACTTTTCATTAATTATTATTATTCTGCTGTGTAACAAAAAACAAAAACTTATTTCTCCTATCTAATTGTAACACAATACTTTTGAAGCTGCCTTTTCCCATCTCCCTGCTTCAGTCTCTGGGAACCCCTGTTGTACTCTTTGCTTATATCAACCCTTTTTTTCAGGTTCCTCAAATGAGTGAGATAATAAGATCATAAAGTATTTGTGTTTCTCTATGTGGCTTATTTTACTTAACATGGTATGCTCAAGGTTCATCCATGCTCTTTTAACTGACAGAATTTTATCCTTTCTTATAGCTGAATAGTATTTCACTGTGCATATATAGTACATTTTCCTTATCCATTTATCTGTTGCTGTACATTTGAATTGATTCCATATATAAGCTATTATAACTAGTTCTGTAACTAACATGGAAATGCAAATATCTTTTTGACACAGTGATATCCTTTCTTTTGTATATACATGCAGGAGTAAAATTGCTGGATCATGTAATACATCTATTTTTAATTTCTTTCAGAAACCTCCATAGTATTTTCTATAGTGGCCATACTAATTTACAATTCCACCAACAATGTATACATTCACTCATTTTATATCCTCATTAGTACTTGTTTTATTTATTTATTTATTTTTATTATAGCCATTCTAAATGGGAGTGAGGCGGTACCTCATTGTGGTTTGGATTTTCATTTCCTTAGTGATTAGTAATGTAGAACATATTTTTATGTTCCAGTTAGCCATTTTTGTATCACTTTTTGACAAACATCTATTAAGATCTTTTGCATTTTTTTAATTAGATTATAAGTGTATTTTATTTTGAGATTTTAAAGTTTCTTATTTATTCTGAATATTAGCCTTTTGTCATATGTATAGCCTGAAAGCATTTTCTTTTATTGCCTAAGCTGTCTCTTCAATCTTTTAGTTTTTTTAATATGGAAAAGCATTTTAGTTTGACATAATGTTGTTTGCTTATTTTTGATTTTGTTGCCTATGTTTTGACATGTTATTTTAATAATCCTTTCCCCGTCGAATGTTATAAAGCATTTTTTAGTTTTTCTCTAATAGTTTCATAATTGATAGCATTACATTTAAGTCTTTAGTTTGAATTGATTTTCATATATGGCAAGGCACAGGGGTCTAGTATAATTTTTCTGAATTTAAATATTTAAATGGCCCTGCATCATTTATTGAAGAAATTAGCTTTTCCCTAAAGTGTGTTCTTGGCAATTTTGTTGACAATCAGTTGGCTTTAGGTGCATAAACTAACTTCTGGGCTTCTTGGGCACATTAGTCTATGTGTTTGTTTTTATGCCAGTACAGTGCTCTTTTGGTTACTATAGCTTTGTAGCAAGTTTTAAAGTTTGATAAAGTGATGCCTTTAGCTTTGCTTATTTTGCTCAAAGTTATTTGTCTATTCAGAGTTTTTTGTGGATCCACATAAATTTAAAATATTTTTTCTATTTCTGTGAAAAAATGTCATTGATATTTTGATAAAAATATTACCTCCCACAGGGTCCCTCCCAGGACATGTGGGGATTATTACAATTTAAGATGAGATTTGATTGGGGACACAGAGCCAAACCCTGTCAATTACTTAAATCCAGGAGTTCGACACTACCCCGGGCAATATTGTGACAAGCTATTGGTAAAAAATATTTTCACAGATTACTCAGGCATTGTGGAATGTTCCTGTAGTCTCAGGAAGTTGGAGGCTGACGTAAGATTATTCCTTGAGTTCCCCAGGAACTTGAGGCTGCATTGAGCTATAATCATCGTATTGTATTCCTGTCTGGGTGAGAGAGTAAGACCTCTTTTTAGAATTTCAAATTTATTTTAGATTTAGGAGGTACCTACACAGGTTTTTTACATGGGTATTTTGTATAATGCTGAGGTTTGAAGTATGAGTAATTCCATCAATCAGGTAGTGAGCATAGTACTAAGTAGACAGTTTTTCAGTTCTTGGTCCCTCCCTCTCTCCACCCTCTAAGAGTTGTCTATTATTTTTGTTTTTCTGTCCATGTGTACCCAGTGTTAATTTCCATTTATAAGTGAGAATATGCAGTATTTTCATTTTCCATTTCTGCATTAATTTGCTTTGTATAATGGCCTTTAGTTGTGTTAACGTTGCTGCAAAGGAGGTTTTTTTTGTTTGTTTTTGCTAAGTAGTATTGCTGTACATGTGACACTTTTTAAATTCAATTTACCATCAATAGGCTGGACATGGTGGCTGATGCCTGTAATCCCAGTGCTGTGGGAGGCCAAGGCGGGTGGATCATGAGGTCAGGAGATCGAGACCATCCTGGACAACGTAATGAAACCCCGTATGTACTGGAAATACAAAAGTTAGCCAGGCTTGGTGGCATGCGCCTATAGTCCCAGCTACTCGGGTGGCTGAGGAAGGAGAATTGCTTGAACCTGGGAGGTGGAGATTGTAGTGAGCTGAGATCGTGCCACTGCACTCCAGCCTGGGCAACAGAGTGAGACGTCATCTCAAAAAAATAAAAAATTACCATGAATAGGCACGTAGGTTGATTCAGGTCCTTCCTCTTATGAATAGTGTAGTGATGAACCAACAAGTGCATGTGCTATTTTGGTAGAATAGTTTATTCTCTTTTGGGTATATACCCAGCGGTGAAATTGCTGGGTTGAATCACAGTTTAACTCTCAGTTATTTGGAAAATCTCCAAGCTGTTCTCCACAGTGGCTGAACTAATTTACATTCCTATTAACAGTGTATAAGTGGTTTTTTCCCTCTAAAACCCCATCAACATCTATTATCATTTTACTTTTTAACAAAAACCATTCTAACTGGTGTACAATGGTGTCTTATTGTGGTTTTTATTTACATTTCCTTGATGGTTAGTGATGATAAGCTTTTTTCATGTTATTTGGCCACTTGTATGTGTTCTTTTGAAGAGTGTCTGTTATTGCCCACTTTTTCATGGGGTAATTTTTTCCTTGTGAATTCTTTAAGTTTCTTATAGATTCTGAGTATTAGATTTTGTCAGGTTCATAGGTTATGAATATTTTTGCCATTCTGCTAGCTTTGGGGTAAGTTAGTTTTTATTTTTCTAGTTTCTCTAAGTGTGATGTTAAATTGTTAGTTTGAGATCATTCTAACTTCTTGATGCAGGTATTTAGCACTCTCAACTTTCCTCTTAACAGAGCTCTTCCTACAACCCAGACATTTTGTTATATTGTGTCTCTTCTATTTCAAAATCTTTTTAATTTTCTGCCTTAATTTTTTTGTTTATCCAAAATTCATTCAGGAGCAAGTTGTTTAATTTCAATATCATTCTGTGATTTTGTGAGATTTTCTTGGTATTGATTTTTATCTTTGTTCCATTGTGGCCTGTCATATTCTGTGAGCAGATGAGAAGAATTTACTTTCTTTAGATGATGTGTTGCATATACTATAAATGTCTATTAGTTTCAATTGATCAAGTGTCGAATCAAACTCCAGAATTTCTTTGTTAAGTTTCTGCCTAGATAATCTGTCAAACACTTAGTGGGGAGTTGCATTCCCCTACTATTATTGTGTGTCTACTTGAGGCTTATTGTAGTTCTAGCAGTAATTGTTGTATAACTCTATGTTCCCCAAAGTTGGGTGCATCTACATTTACGATAGTTAAGTCTTCTTGTTGAATTGAACCCTTTATCGTTACGCAATACCTTTCTTTGTTTTATTTTACTATTAATGATTTAAAGCTATTTTTTCTTAAAAGAGAAACAATTCCAGGTATGGTAGCTTGTGCCAGCACTTTCAGACTGAAGCAGTCGGATTGCCTGAGACCAGGAGTTTGAGACCAGCCGAGGCAACACAGCAACATACTGTTTGTACAAATTTTTTTAAAGAAACTATACAGGAGGGGTAATGTGCACAACTGTGGTCATATTTACTCAGGAGACATAGGTGGCATGACTGCTTGACTTCCGAAATTTGAGGTTACAGTGAGCTGTGATTCCACCAGTGTACTCTGTCCCAGGAGATAAAGTAAGATCCTCTGCATAAAATGAAAAAGTAAAGAAAAATAAAAAGATTTTAAGTTAAAAAAATAATTCCTAGATCTCCACTTCTTTAGGTTCACTTGAATATATATTTTTCTCCTTTGATTAGGTTATATTTCCTGGTTGCTTTTACTTACTGTAGTTTTGTTAAGGTTTTGATCAATTAAGAAACCACTACCTATTTTATCCTTTATGAAAGAGCTTTATACATGGGAAAATTGACAACATTCAGCCACAGTAGTCATACTGGGAGCTTCTCCAATCTGTTGTCAAAATGTGTCTTCTTTGGACTACTGTATGTATTTTCTTGTTAATAAGGTTTACCTCTGTTTCCTCTTAGGAGCCTTTAGTCTCTTCCCTTCGTCACTGTTGTAGGCACTACAGTCTCTGTTGTTGTAAGAAGCATTTATCTTTATTCTCAGTTGACCCAAGCTGTCATTTAAACTCAGTCTCTATTCTCATCAACACTAAATGTTAAAGGAAGCAATTTCCAGTCTTTAGATAACCCCGGTATAACTCAGTAAGTCAGAAGTTTGCATACGCATTTCACTCTTTTTTCTTTCCCAAAGGAGAATCATGGAATGGACAGATTTTTATCTAACTGCGCTGTTCTGTAGTGCACAAATGTGACCAAATTTTCTTCTAAATGTGGTTATGGTTGGCTTTTTTCTCATGTGGGGTGCTACAAACTCAACTGGCTTTGTTCGCCCAATTGTAGTTAAGTTCATATGTCAATGGAGAGAAACAGGATCTCAGGTTCTGCTTCAACTGTCATTGTCTTCTCAGCTGACCTCATTTTGTACATTAGATTTATAAAATATATTTACTTTAATCTCATCACCGAATTTTTAAAAAAATTATTATTTTTCAGCTCTTTTAGCAATATATCCAATCAAGACCCAGAGAAAACAGTACATAGAAGCTTCTTTTCAAAAAGTAATATTGGGAAGATATGGGAGCTCTGGCCTTGAACTTTTACACTTAGGAGAGTGGGAAATTGAAGGATAAGTGTAAACGGCACAAAGTATGCTATGATGAATATACCAGATACACAGCAATTACCTACAGCAAAAATGTCACTGCTAGAAGAGCTCAAAACCATAAAGTATTTTGGAAAAAGCATAATTAATGTTGATTCTTTTTTCTGAACTATATATTTATATAATTACATACCAATAACAATTTTTGAAACATATCATGTTTTTGAAACAAAATTTAGAAAATCGCAATAGTGGCCTAGGCCAGGAATATTTCTTCTAATGCTATCCCTCCCATAGTCCCCCACTTCCCGACAGGCTCCAGTGTGTGATGTTCCCCTTCCTGTGTCCGTGTGTTCTCTTTGTTTAACTCCCTATTATGAGTGAGAACATGCGATGTTAGCTTTTCTACTCTTGTGTTAGTTTGCTGAGAATGGTGGTTTCCAGCTTCATCCATGTCCCTGCAAAGGACATGAACTCATCCTTTTTATGACTGCATCGTATTCCATGATGTGGACATGCCAAGTTTTCTTTATTCAGTCTATCATTGATGGTCATTTGGTTTGTTTCAAAGTTTTTGCTCTTGTGAACAGTGCCATAATAAACATACGTATGCATGTATCTTTATAATAGAATAATTTATAATCCTTTGGGTATATACCCAGTAATGTGATTGCTGGGTCAAATGGTATTTCTCATTGTGGATCCTTGAGGAATCACCACACTGTCTTCCACACTGGTTGAACTAATTTACACTCTCACCAACAGTGTATAAGTCTTCCTATTTTTCCACATCCTTTGTTGTTTCCTGATTTTTTTAATGATCACCATTCTAACAGGTGTGGGATGGTTTCTCATTGTGTTTTTGATTTGCATGTGTCTAATAACCAGTGATGATGTCCTTTTCTTCATTTGTTTATTGGCTGCATAAATGTCTCCTTTTGAGAAGTGTCTGTTCAAATCCTTTGCCCATTTTCGATGTTGTTGTTTCTTTTTTTCTTGTAAATTTGTTTAAGTTCTTTGTAGATTCTACATATCAGCCCATTGTCAGACGGATAGATTGCAGAAATTTTCTCCCATTCTTTAGGTTGCCTGTTCACTCTGATATAGTTTTTTTTGTTGTGCAGAAGCTCTTTAGTTTAATTATATCTCGTTTGTCAATTTTGGCTTTTGTTGCCATTGTTTTTGGTGTTGTAGTCATGAAGTCTTTGCCCATGCCTATGTCCTGAATGGTACTGCCTTGGTTTTCTTCTGGGGTTTTTATGGTTTTAAGTCTTATGTTTAAGTCTTTAATCCATCTTCAGTTATGTTTTGTATAACGAGTAAGGAAGAAGTCCAGTTTCAGTTTTTTGCATATGGCTAGCTAGTTTTCCAACACCATTTATTAAATAGGGAATCCTTTCCCCATTACTTGTTTTTGTCAGGTTCATCAAAGATCAGATGATTCTAGATGTTGAGTGTTATTTCTGAGGCCTCTGTTCTGTTCCATTTGTCAATATATCTGTTTTGGTACGAGTACCATCCTGTCTTGGTTACTGTGGCCTTTTAGTATAGTTTGAAGACAGCTAGCATGATGCCTCCACCTTTGTTCTTTTTGCTTAGTATTGTCTTGTCTATGCAAGACCTTTTTTGATTCCATATGAAATTTGAAGTAGTTTTTTTTCTAATTCTGTGAAGAAAGTCAATGGGAGCTTGATGGGGATAGCAATGAATTTATAAATTACTTTGGGCAATATGGCCATTTTCATAATATTGATTCTTCCTATCCATGAGCATGGATTGTTTTCGTTTGTTTGTGTCCTCTTTCATTTCCTTGAGCAGTGGTTTGTAGTTCTCCTTGAAGTGGTCCTTTACATCATTTTTAAGTTGGATTCCTAGGTATTTTATTCCCTTTGTAGCAATTGTGAATGAGAGTTAACACATGATTTGGCTCTCTGTTTGCCTATTATTGCGTATAGGAATGCTTGTGATTTTTGAACATTGATTTTGTATCCTGAGACTTTGCTGAAGTTGCTTATCAGTTTAAGGAAATTTTGGGCTGAGATGGTAGGGTTTTCTAGATATACAATCATGTCATCTGCAAACAAAGACAATTTGACTTCTTCTCTTCCTATCTGAATACGCTTTATTTCTTTCTTTCTTTTGCTGATTGCCAGAACTTCCAATACTATAATGAATAGGAGTGGGGAGAAAGGGTGTTCTTGTCTTGTGCAGGTTTTCAAAGGGAATGCTTCCAGTTTTTGCCCATTCAGTATGATATTAGCTGTGCATTTGTCATAAATAACTCTTATTATGTTGAGATAGGTTCCATCAATACATAATTCATTGAGAGTTTTTACCATGAAGAGGTGTGGAATTTTATTGAAGGCCTTTTTTGCATCTATTGAGATAATCATGTGGTTTTTGTCATTAGTTCTGTTTATGTGATGGATTTTATTTATTGATTTGCATATGTTGAACCAGCTTTGTATCCCAGGGATTAAGCTGACTAGATCGTGGTGGATAAGCTTTTTGATGTGCTGCTGGATTCGGTTTGCCAGTATTTTATTGAGGATTTTCGCATCGATATTCATCAGGGATATGGGCCTGAAATTTTCTTTTTCTGGTGTGTCTTTGCCAGGTTTTGGTTTCAGGATGATGCTGGCCACATAAAATGAATTAGGGAGGAGTACCTCTTTTTCTATTGTTTGAAATAATTTCAGAAGGAATGGTACCAGCTCCTCTTTGTACCTTTGGTAGAATTCGGCTGTGAATCCGTCTGGTCCTGGACTTCTTTTTGTTGGTAGGCTACTAATTACTGCCTCAATTTTAGAACTTGTTATTGGCCTATTCAAGGATTCGACTTCCTACTGGTTTGCACTTGGGAGGGTATATGTGTCCAGGAATTTATCCATTTCATCTAGATTTTCTAGTTAATTTGCAAAGAGGTATTTATAATATTCTGTAATGATACTTTTTATTTCTGTGGGATCAACGGTTATATCCCCTTTATCATTTCCTATTGCATGTATTTGATTCTTTTCTTCCTTATTAGTCTGGCTAGAAGTTTATTTATTTTCTTGATCTTTTAAAAAAACCAGCTCCTGGATTCATTGATTTTTTGGACGGGCTTTTTGTGTCTCTATCTCCTTCAGTTCTGCTCTGATCTTAAATCTTGTCTTCTGCTAGTTTTTGAATTTGTTTGCTCTTGCTTCCCTAGTTTTTTTAATTGTGATGTTACGGTGTCGATTTTAGACATTTTTCTGCTTTCTCTTGTGGGGATTTAGTGCTGTAAATTTCCCTTTCAGACTACTTTAGCTGTGTCGTATTTTACTTTTTAAGCCCTCAATCTTCCTTTTTCATCGTGATAGTCTTTACTGTTTTATGTTTATGTAATGTAAAATTGACTACACAATTTTTACAAAGATTTTATGAAAATATTTTATTGAGAATGTACAAACCGTCAGTCAATTAGAGGAGAAGTTACACTGTCATAATAAATAGCCACAAAGCAAAACGCCAAAAGACATCCAAATCAGAATAAAACAAAACATTTTAACAAAAACAAAAAGAACAAACTGGCAACAAATATGTGAAGTTTATATTACAAAGATGCTCACTTATCCACTCTAAAGAGAGCTTTTAGAATTTGATTTAAAATACGGCAAAGACATTATCCCACACTTCACAGAAAAAATAAATTTAAGCAGCTGTTAACACATGAATGTATTATCAAGCTCAGATATAATCAAAATTAAATATTTGACAAGAGATTCTACAGTTTGGGAGAAATAGAAGTGTTTTTTTCTTTTCCCCAGGCCCACAAGTCTAGTTTCTTGTTCTTCTTCACTATAATGGGGTTTGTCATCAGCTCCCCAAAATATGGGAAGCACAGAGCAGGTGGTGGCTGAAGGTGGGGTATCCTGTGAAACCATATTTAAGATCAGAGCCCTTGGTCCATTGTGTTGTAATCAGCTGGCTCAGGAAAGAACACCTGGCTGTCCAGAGCTCTACACCTACTGCACTGGGTGTGAAAGGAGGCCTGAGAACCCATGGGTCCCAAACCCACCCCACTCCAAATTATCATCCAGTATTGAGAACTCTGACACCAAATTCTCACAGAGCATATGTTTATGCAGTTTTACATTTAATTTCTCATTACATTACAATTGGGAAACTGAGGCCCCAGAAGAGGCAGAGACTGGTCCAGATCTCAGGAGGTGGGCAGGCTCCAGAGCATTAGAGAGGGCTCCAGCTTCCTAGGCCTTGGCACCGTCCCACTTATCAGGTTTGTTTTCGAAATTAGAGTCTGTAGCTACACATTCAGGAGCACAGAAAATGAGCAGATTCAGGGTTCTGTTCACATGGGGTCCTCTCCATGTCAGTTTCAAGATAACAGGACTGGGGTTCTGCATCCAGCTCTGAGGGCAACTGGAAGTAAAATGAGCTATGCTCCACCTCAGCCTAATGTAGACAGTGCCTACAGGAAAGCTTGTTTTCTTCCTCATAAATAGGGGTGCCTGAAGTGGGTGACCTTGATGATTTCACATACTCATAAGTGTCTGCCAGCCTGGATTCTTGCTCTGAGACTGCAAAAATGCACCCACTCTGCAGATCCTTCAAATCAGAGGGAGGCATGGCCACTTGAGAGGCATCTTGGGTAGATGAAGATGAGACAGAGTTAAATGTGCCAGAGCACTGGACTCTGAGGCTGAGGTCCACGGAAAATCTCAGCTACTGTTGCGTTCTTAAGGTCCTCATTTGAAAGTGGTAGAAAATAATTTCACTGGATAAGGGGAGGATACCTCATGAGTAAATAGCACAACCAAAAAGGTGGAGGCAAAGAGAGGGCAAAACGGGATTCCTAGTTCACTCATTATACTTGGGGCCTTCAGATCCTGCTACTTTATCCCCTAGGACCTTGAAGAACCAGTGTCTTGAGGACAGAAAAATCAAGGTATCAGATTTGTTCAGTAGTGCTCCTGCTTGGGGCTGTAGGGTTAGTGATGGCCAGGAGGTGGTTACAGCCTACTGTGTTTCTGGTGCCCACTGAGCTTTGCTGGAGCAGCTGGAACAAGTAACAGTCACACACCTCATGTTGTTATCAGTGATGTCCACATTATCAGGTGGTCAAAAGGGGAAGGGATATTAGGGATCCCCCATATAATCACTTAGCCAGTCTTTTTTCCCTTGCGCTCACCATTTGCCAGCGACCCTGGTGGGTCCAACATGTGGTACAGAAAATTATTACTTCATGTCTGCACCCCCCAACCCAGGACCAAACAATCTGAGGACCGCTGGACAAAAGCACTAAAGCAAGTATATGTGAAAGAAAAGAGCAAGGACTATAATATAAAGTAGATTATTGAGAAGAAAACCTGGAAAATTATTGCATGGGAGGACCTCAGGCCTCACTGAGGTGACTTTTAATCCATGATGAGGATGACAGCAGGGAGGCATCTGCACAAGCATGTGTCAGGGAGAAGCCACCCTTAGTGAAAAAACTCATAGGTGTGAGTTTGGCAGAGGTAAAAAGGGACTAGTTTGGCTGCAGACAGCCTGAGAAAGAGATAAGCAGAGGGATGGAGAATCCTAGGGCCTGGGAGATGAGGTTAGATATCTGCTCCTTTCTGACAACATTGCCCTAAAAGTCAGCACTTTTCAACAACATATAATATCTCATAATGTGTGTGGACCAGAATCTGGACACAGCTCAGCTGGCTACCTCTGCCTTCAGGTCTTTTATGAGACTGGGGGCTGTGGTCTTAACTGAAGCTGGACTGGGAAAGCATGAGCCTTTAAGCTGACTCATGTGAAAATTGACAGGGTTTAGTGTGGCTGGAGAGCCTGACTTTCCTTCTCTCTACTCGTCTGAGCACCCTCTCACCCTTTGTTATGTGGGTCTCTACATGGAGCATCTCATAGCATTGGAGCTTGCTTCCTGTGTTTGAGGAATACAATAGACAGAATTAGACAAAAAGGTTTACACAAAAAGAGACAGAAAGATCGAGGGCGCAAACGAGAAAAACCCAGTAGGAGAAAAATTAGAGCTTTAAAAACATCTTGACAGGGTGCGGTGGCTCACACCTGTAATCCCAGCACTTTGGGATGCTGAGACGTGTGGATCGCCTGAGGTCAAGGGTTTGAAACCAACCTGGACAACATGGTGAAACCACCGTCTCTTCTAAAAATACAAAATGAGCTAGATGTGGTGGCGCATGCCTGTAATCCCAGCTACTTGGGAGACTGAGGCAGGAGAATCAATTGAACCTGGGAGGCAAAGGTTCCAATAAGCCGAGATCACACCACTGCACTCCAGCCTGGGATACAAGAGTGAAACTGTGTCTCAAAAAAAAAAAAAAAAAAAAAAAAAAGAAAGAAAGAAAGAAAGAAAAAAAACTTGAGAGTTACTATAATTTTTCTTCTATATTTGTGTTAAAATTGTAACCCCGGGCGTAATGCTATAAGGAGGTAGAATGTAATTAAACCCTTAGGGTGGGACCCTCATAATACAGATTACTGGCTTTATACAAGAAACCGCAGAGGGCTCTCATCCTCCTGCAAAATGAGGGTAAAACCTGAAGTGTGCAGGCTGAAATTCAGAAGCCAGTCATCACCAGATCTCAACCATGCTGACACCCTGATCTCAAATTTGAACCTCTGGAGGTATGAGAAATTAAGTCCTGTTGTCTATATGCTGCCTATCTATGGTTCTTTGGCATAGCAGCCTGAACTAATACAAAAGTGATATCCTTTTCTGTGTTTCATTGGAGAGAAGCTGAATTTGTACCCCCTATACTGTTAAAAAAAAAGACTTAAAAAATGGATCTTCAGAATGAAAGATAGGAAACGGCTTGTTGAAACACTAAAAATTTAACTGCTATAAGTTTTTTAAACATTGGCTGAAATTGTTGGAACCAATATTGCCAACTGAAGTCCATGAAGCATCACTTTGCAGACTTTGGAGCCCAAATTTCCATTGTGTGCTTCATACTAACTCTCCCTGAATTTGTATGTGACCTGTGAGGAAACAAGAAGAGATGACTGTATATGTCTCATGACTTTCCATATTCCTACTTTCCTTCCAGCAATCCCCTACAGAACCCACCTATTAGGCCTTTTCTAATCACTGCCTTAAAGCCAGTATGACAAAACAAATTTGATTTGAACTCCTATCTCCTTGTTAGCCAACATACAAGATGATATTTTCCTCAAAACCGAAGGGCCATAGTACTGGCATCAGGAAGTATTCCATTTTATTCAATAAAAAACTGAGTCACTCAATACCTAGTACTGGGAGACTTTGTGAAGACTTCCTCTGTCATAGACGTGATAAGGCACATGGATATGATTCTAAATATAAAGAGAAAGCACTAGAAAGTTGAATTCCTGTATTAGATCATTCTCATACTGCAATGATGGAGTACCTGAGACTGGGTAACTTATAAAGTAAAGAAGTTTAATTGACTCACATTTCCACATAATTGTGGGGGCACCTCAGAAACCTTCCAATTACAGTGGCTGACAAGTGAAGTGAGTGAGAGCATGGGATGTACCAGATGCTTATGAAACTATCAGATCTCGTGAGAACTCACTATCACAAGAACAGCATGAGGAGAACCCGTCCCCATAATCCAATCATCTCCCCTCAGGTTTTCCCTTAACACCTAGGGGTTATAATACACAATGAGTTTTGGGTGGGGACGCACAGCTAAACTATATGAATGCCAGAGGACAGTATCTACATTTAATTTCAACTTCATACTGGAGCAGAATGAAAATGAGGCCCAGTGGAGAAGTGATATTTCCAAGATCACCCTGGCAGACACCAGGCCTGTTTGAGTTGTGGCCCATGCTACCTCCCACCTATTCTCCTAATGCTTCCATCTCTAAGTGTATGCATTATCTACAGGTGACACTACATCATTATTTTTATGTCTTATCTTATATACACCTAATACATTCCCTAGGAAGTAGATGTTAGCATCATCACCAGTGTGCATGTTAGGAGGCTGGGGAAGCCTCGAATACAGTGACTTTTACTGGGTCCCAGAGATGGTAAGAAAAACAAGGTTATGTTCCAGCTGTCTCTTCTATCCTGGAACCCAGGTTGCATTTAGGTCTTTCCAGGGAATTAAGGGGAAGTTGTGTTTGCATAATTGTGTACAAATAAAGAGTTGACATGGAAGAGGAGACTGAGCAATCAGTAGCATAGTGGGGCCTTTCGGTATGTCTTACAGAAACATGGGGCCCAGTAGATGGAACCTTGAAGAGTTTAACATACTTTCTTGGTGTCAGAACCCAACAGCAGTTAAGAAACCAGGAATCCACATTCTTGAGACAGCTCTGTATCCACCTCTGTTTGTGAGAGTTGCTCAAGAGAGTGAGATGCTCTTTCATTGTGCCCTGAAATTTCTGAGTTTCAGCCTTACAAAGGCTCAATGTAAAAGTCTTATCTGATAACACAGATGTCAACTGAGCCCTCATCACTGATGTCCCTGGCTATTGGCCGGGTGCACCTACAAATAACACAGGGCAGCCCAGGACAGGCCCCTCCACGCCAGCCTCTCTTGTCAACTCATCTGGGCAGTCCCACACCACTTCTTAGTACCATGAGTTGGATGGGGAGCAAGAGGGAGGGCACTCTTCTTGGACTGAAGTAGATTGTCGGGTGTTGGAACTCTTGTGTACCTGTCATGTTCATACCTAGGCCATAGCTGGCAGAATAAAAAGAAGAGGGTTGGAGAACGAGTCTGTGTACTCAGATGTGAATTCCAAGACTTTAACTTGTCCTCTGGTTTCCTTCCTTCATGGAGATTTATACAGATTCTCCTTATGTGCCTAATCTGAAGAGAAGAATTTCTTTTATTTTCTTTTTTCTTTTTTCCTTTCTTCTTTTCTTTTTTCCTTTCTTCTTTTCTCTTTTCTTTTCTTTCTCTTTCTTTCTTTCTTCTTTCTTTTTTTTTTCTTTCTCTTTCTTTCTTTCCATCTCTCTCTTTCTTTCTTTCCTTCTCTCTCTCTTTCTTTTTTATTTATCATGAAGTCTCACTCTGTTACCCAGGCTGGAGTGCAGAGAAAAGCAGAATTTCTAATGGAGGTGTCACATACGGTCAAAGCAAGGAAGAACACAGACTTTTCTTTGCGTGGTTTCTAGGCACATTTACAAAGCTGCATTCAGATTGATGAGGAGCTTCATCATTCAGTTTAATGTGGCCAACTCCTCCCTCTTTTTGGAAAAAGAGCAGGTGCACTAAACCAGCAAACACAGCCAGCACTGGGCTGTGCTGAGAGCAGCCACATAGGGGTCTCTACAGACAGAAAGCTGAGAAGACAGGGAAAGAAACAGGACCCAGACTCAAATATGAAAAATCTCTGGGCTTTGTCCTACGGCCTTCCCATGAGTAACTCATAGCCTTGTTCCAGTGGAATCTGGCCTTCACTAGTCTCAGTGGCAAGTTGGTTATGTGGAAAGTCTCTCTTCACACACTTGTGCGAATAACGATAAAGAATTTTGTATTGTTTTCACTCTACATTAGACCATGAGTATTTATGCCTGTGGCTGCAGTTTGTATTAGTTTCCGGCCCCAGGTATCTCCTGCAGCATGCAGCTTCAGTCCTATCGGACCCTCAAAACTTAAAAGCTAACACTATTACTAGGGAGGATTTCGCAGGAAAATGGTGAGAGGGTTACACACAAAAAAGGTTAAACTACTCTATGCATGTTTCTGCAATGTGTTATCTCAGGAACTCATTTCTGTAGCCCATCAGGGCAGGAGCTGGGCTCTCACCTGTTGATAATATTCCATAAGGGAGGTTCTTCCCCACAGTGTTTAGTCTTCCAACGCTGGTACAGCCTGACATGATGACATTCTACTTTCATGTCGGTCATGCTGCAGGGAAAATTCTGTGAGTGTCCTAATAGGCTGGAATAATTTGCTAGGGTGAACCCCATCTTTGGTGCTCACTTTTCTGTTATCTTGTAATTAGCTTTATTCTCAGCAAATCCATGTCTATTTTATTTATCTGTTTATTTACTTATTTTTATGTATGGAAAAACACTTTTTTTTATTTACTTATTTATTTAGAGACAGGGTCTCCGTCTGTTACCCAAGCTGGAGTACAGTGGTAGAGTGCTGTGATCATGGCTCATTGCAGCTTCAAACTCTTGGGCTCAAATGATTCTCTCACCTCAGCCTCCTGTGCCACCATGCCCTGCTAGTTGATTTTAATTTTTTATAAAGAAGGAGACTCATTAGGCAGCCCAGGCTGGTCTCAAACTCCTGGGCCCAAGCAATTCTCTCATCTCAGCCTCCCAAAGCACTGGGATTAAAAACATGAGCCACTGTACTGAGCTGTGCCTACTTCAAAAGACTGAAAATAAAAAATCAATAAATCTTTGCCAAATTAAAAAACAAAACAATAGTTTCCAGGTCTTAGACAAAGACAATTCTGTGTCATGAAGGTGGCAAAAGGCTTATTTAGCTGTTAAAATGATTTGCTTATATTTCAAAGAAGCAGAGAAAAAAAGATACATATAAAAGTTTTCCAGGCCAGGCACGGCTGTTCATGCCTGTAATCCCAACATTTGGGGAGGCCAAGGCAGGAGGATATCTTGAAGCCAAATGTTTGAGTCCAGTACAGGCAACATGGTGAAATTCTGTCACCATAAAAAAATAAATAAAATAAATATGGCTGGGCATGGTGGTTCACGCTTGTAATACCAGCACTTTGGGAGTCGGAGGCAGGTGGATAATGAGGTCAGGGGTTCGAGACCAGCCTGGCCAAAATGGTGAAACCCTTTCTCTCCTAAAAATAATAACAATAAAAAATCAGCCAGGCATGGTGCTGTGCGCCTGTAATGCCAGCTACTCAAAAGGTTGAAGCAAGAGAATTGCTTGAACCTGGGAGGTGGAGGTTGCATTGAGGTAAGATCATGCCACTACACTCTAGCCTGACCCACAGAGCAAGACACTGTCTTGAATAAATAAATAAATAAATAAATAAATAAATAAATAAATAAATAAAGTTAGCCAGGCCTGGAGGTGCATGCCTATAGTCCTAGGTAATTAAGAGGTTGAGGCAGGAGGACTGCTCAAACCCAAGAAGTTAAGGTTATAGTGAGCTATGATTATGCCATTGCACTTCAGACTAAGCAAAAGAGTAAGATTCCATCTCAAAAAATTACTAAAAAAAGTTCTCTAAATTACATTGTTTAAGAAAAGGGAAAAGAAAAAATATCTTTTTTAATTTTCAAATGGGAGGATAGAGCCTCTCATTTCTAATATGTATTTCCTTCTGCAAAAACATGGCCTAGGCCCATGGTCTTGAACTACTGGACATCTGAATTTTAGTAGGTGCTGGATTCAGGCAACTGAGGGGTGGCTTGGACACACTAAGTGCACGTAAATAAAAGGTTTGAGGTGAACTAAAAGGTAAAAGAGGGGAAGGTGCTATTAAGAACCCACAATTGGGAGACATTACAGGGTTGGTGGAAGGACTGGTTCATGCTACAGATACTGACCCAGGTGAAACTTTACTCTGACTTATTTCTGTGTCCATGCAGGAAGACGAGATTATGATCAGGTGGCACAGAAACCTGGGATGGTGAAAAAACCAGGTTGCCCGTGCAGATTCGGTGTCTGAGGTAGAGCATATGCCAGGGGTCTTGTAGGCACGTGTGTGGGTTTTTGGTGGGAAAGTCTATGAGGAAAGGTAGCATGGGCCACAATCTTGATGCCGAAGCCCTGTGCTGGGAGGGGCTTGACCACGTCAACATGCAGTGTGTATGTTCAGTGGGTGAAAAACATGTGGTGGCCTCAGGTTGGCAGGAGGGTAGAAGGCATCTGTTCTCAGAACTTCTTCCCTCAGAGTCGTCGGTCCTTCTTACCATGGGAGGATGCCTGGAACCACAGGGCAGTGCATGGTGTAGCAGCCTGTGTGCAGAGCAGAGCCTACCTTCCCCGAGACACCTGGAGTCTCTCTCCAGCAGAGGCCCCCACATTGTCTTTCTTTTTATGTTTTTGATCCTAAATGTGTAAAGTTCCCTGAAAACCCACTGATTCTCCAACACCCATTTGTTGCCTCAAAATTTAATTCTGACACAACTTAGAGTTCGCACAGACCCCACAAATTCAGGGCTCAGTCCCACATCACCTCTCTCACTGTAGAGGAGAGTTACACATCCCTGAAGCCCATCTACACTTCTGAGCTACCTCCTATAAATCTGAGACTAGCATAAACCCCTTTTCAAGTTAAATAATTTGATAGAATTACTAAAAAGAAAACCTCAACAAATAACTGTAATTATATTTACTACTTTATTATAAAAATATAACTCAGAAACAGCCAAATGGAAGAGATGTCTAGGGCAAGGAACAGTTGTGGGTGAAGGTAATCCTGGAAATAGCTATATTTAAAGAAATTCCCCCATTCTTTGCATTCTCAAAGAACAGCTTAGTGAAGAGAAATGTGCTTCCCGTGATGACTTTGAGGATGCTCCCTGCTGTTTTTTTAACCTATCACAAAAATGGACACAGGTTGCAAATTCCCATTTTTAAAAATCAACAACCATTCAGTAATTTAGTCTTCAGTGGTCAAAATAACATACTCTTTACAGAAACTTTGCTTGTTTCTCTTCTTCCAAACAGCCCCTGAACTTTGACTCACCCACAGCTTCAGCAAACCTACAACCCTTATTTATACATAACCCTCCTAAGAACAGGCTGAGTTCAAGGTGAAACATTATCTTATCTGGGATCTCATTTTGCTACCCTCCATCCTGTGCTTCCTTTCCAACCTTCTTTGTAAACTTGTTTTCTCCTCCCTATGAAATAAGGCACTTTTCCACCTAACCTTAGAGATACTCAAAGATCTAATCATTTGTACTTTTTCTTTGTTGCAATACTTCTTAGGTAACTTCTTAGACCAAGTCTAGAAACAGTCTGAGGACAATAACAATTCCATTCTAAAAAGAATCTCCCAACATTTCTTCTATCTCTACCTCAACTGCATCTGCCTGTGAACTTCCAGCTTACCAAGGCTCTATATCTTCTGGCAGTGACAAAGGCTCCTTCCATGATTGGTGTGAGTAGGCTTGGACACCTGCAGGGCAGACACCCAGGAATAATCAACTGAGCCTTCAGTGGTCCTCTTTTGCTGGGTCAAGGTGGGCCTTAGCTTTTAGTCGATGGTCTAAGACTTCTACTTACCAGTTAGTCATTCAGTTAGTTTCCAATTCAAAAAATACTTCATGTTTGAAGAATCCAGCAAAAATTATTCAAATCTAAGGTATAAAAGAGAGGAAATTACAGCCGGGCATTGTGACTCATGCCTGTAATCCCTGCATTTTGGGAGGCCTAGGTGGGCAGATGACCTGAGATCAGGAGTTTGAGACCAGCCTGACCAACATGAAGAAACCCCGTCTCTACTAAAAATACAAAATTATCCAGGTGTGGTGTTGTATGCCTGTAATCCTAGCTACTCGGGAGGCCGAGGCAGGAGAATCGCTTGAACCCAGGAGGTGGAGGTTACAGTGAGCAGATGTCTTGCCATTGCACTCCAGTCTGGGCAACAAGAGTGAAACTACATCTAAAAAATAACAGAATAAAATAAAATAAAAACATTATAAGGGGCTTATATCTTATAATTCATCAAGAAAAGCCAAAGTATCTATCCCTTTCAGAAAATAAACATGTAATTTAATTATGTTCATAACAAATCATTTAGTAAACAATCATATGTGAACACTTCCAGGCGGTGCCAAGTCCCAGCTCCTAAAACTTAGCGTTACCCTCAAACACCCAGATGACAGCATATGAAACAGAGATATTCACTATCAGAAGTTCTCTGTTTTGAAAAAAGAATAACTGATGTGATAAATTTATGTAATTTAACAATTAATCTACCTCACGTGCTTGTAGGTATGTATTCATTTCCTACCACCGTAGTGGAAGAGAGACTATCCCTATCTATACACCTGGTAACATTCCCAACAGTAAGCCGTGAGATTCTGCTTGAAATCACCTCTCAGACAAATAAAAAACAGTCCTGGGAAATGTACAACACTCATTCTGCTAAAGAAATAGGCAAGTAACAATTTTTAACAAGTGAAATATATTACTACTTAATTTTATTCAAAATTCACCAACTTAATGTGCTTTATAAATATTCTCATACCTTTGAAGCTCTACTGATAAAACATAATTTACAGTTAATGAAAAAGTGAAGTTAAAATAAATACAATCATATTTTCAAGGTGACAAAATTAGAAGGTGACAATGCTGATTGAAACACAGACATATCTGACCCAAGGGTCAAGTCAAGCCGTTCTATTACTTGGGATATTTTCCCTGCTCCTATCTGGTTCAGTGATGTGGGTCATGAGCGTCCTACCAGGAGCTGCTACGCTCTGCTCCACTGTGTCTGTAAGGTGCATTTTACTTTGCAGGTTTTTGCACTGCCTCACTAGGTTGGGTTTCTTTATCCTTTGAAATATTTTCTCTCCCTTCACCAATCTGAGGACATTTTTTCCTCAATATCAGCATCCAGTTGCCTGGCCTGCAATGTGTCTCTAAGGAATGGAAACTAAGCGTTGGGGTAAGAAATTCTTAATGTCCTAAGGGGTTTGCTTTTAACGCAAAGGTATACGTGGAGATTCCTTCCAGGTATAGTGCATCCAACCACTCCAAAAAGAGGCTGCATTCCCATACCTTGGGCTGTTCCCTGAGAGGAGATGACACAAGGGATGCTATTTACTAGACACTTCAAGAGTCATGGCCAGTGTTGGTATCTTGGGGATTCTCAAGCAGTTTTGAAACCCAAAACCAAGAAAATAACACAGGATGGCTGAGGATGTATTGCCCTGTGAGGTTTCAGAAATGAAACCTCAACCCAAAGACATTCTGATGGGGTGTCTGTGCCAAGGCAAGATTAAAGAAAGGGGCACAAATATTTTCTTTTCTTTTCTTTTCTTTTTTTTTTTACTGTGGATTGTCAGGGGATTATTATCTGCTTTCATGTCCTGTAAAATGTTTACAAATGAAAAATATTTTTTTAAGTGCCATCCACTGCTTTT
Organism: Homo sapiens; assembly: GCF_000001405.40. Taxonomy (NCBI): domain Eukaryota; kingdom Metazoa; phylum Chordata; class Mammalia; order Primates; family Hominidae; genus Homo; species Homo sapiens. The sequence goes on from NW_021160026.1 coordinate 258,371, forward strand.
TGAAAAAATGCAGAATTAAAATACTGTGTCTAAAATGTACAATAAAGAACAGTTGATAATGTTGTGAGTTACACAAGGTTAGTTAGTGTTGGTAAGTGTCAGGAAAGAACTGGAAATTTAAACTCTGACTGCAAGCAAGAGTTAGGCTGGGGTAACAGGGTGGTAGATTTGAGGCTCTTCTTGCCACACATTTGGAAAATGCATGAGAAAACGAATTCTTTTTTGGAGCATTAAAACAACTAAAAAACAGGCGATTGCATTGAGGTGGCTCTAGTGTACTGACCTCTGAGTGGAGAGACAGGCAAAGGCATCCCTAGATCCAAAAAGCTGTCCATTCTTCTCCAGCTGTGCACCTGATTAGATAATTTCCACTCCAGCACCCGTGACTGGATATAGTTCAATTCCCCACCAAGCCCCCTCAGGCCATGAGTGACATATGTGATTTGACACTGGATTGAATAAAGCAAGAATTATAGGTTTTTCCAGGATCCTTTTCTGGCAGGGCTTCCTTCATGCACTGGACACTGGCCCTGCCTGTAAAATACTTGCATTTTCATTTGTGTGTAAGATTATTTGTATTTATGAAAAATATATATGTGTTATTCATACATGGAAGCAATATAATGACAATTATTTTAAAATTTCAGATTTTTTACTTTCCTGGCACATCCAGGTTTTAGAGCAGGCAGCCTGAGATTTCAAAAATGAGGCAATTCTCTAAGAAATAATATGTGAGGCACATGTGAATTTTAAATATTCTAGTAGCTACATTTTAATAAATACACCAGGCATGGTTGCCTGTGCCTGTAGGTTGAAATGTTTGGGAGACTGATGTGGGAGGATCATTTGAGGCAAGGAGTTTGAGACTAGCCCATGCAGCATAGAGAAAGCCATCTCAACAACAACAACAAAAAAAAAAAATTGAAAAATTAGCCACGCCTGGTGTATGCCTTCAGTCCCAGCTACTCAGAAGGCTGGAGCTGGAGGATCACCTGAGCCTGGGAGGTCAAGGCTGCAGTGAGCCATGATCACACCACTGCACTCCAGCCTCACTGACAGAACAAAACTCTGACTCAAAAAACTGATCTCTGGAAAGGCATTTTCTTTTTCTGCAACGTAGCCAAATAGCTAAATTTGTATTGAAGCCATCCTTTAATTTTTAACAGAGCAAGAATATTTTCTAAGACCCTGAACTCCAGATATGTGATGGGGCAAATCCTGAAGCGTACATGGCTGTCTCTCACAGCTAAAGCATCCCTCACCCCTATCCAGCGCTTCTTACCCCTGGCGCAAGAGAATCACCTGCGGGGAGGAAAACTTTCAAAATCCCTTAAACCCAAGTTGTAACCGCTCAATTAAATCAGAATCCTTGGAGCTGGATCTGAAAAAAATACGGTTGAAAGTCGTGCAGGTGATTACAATGTGTAGGCAAGCCAGAAAACCATGGCTTTAACGAGCAGCTTTTGTTAGAAATGATTTCTCAAATGAATGTAAAAACGTTTGCTGCTGAATTGTGACCTTTCAATTTTACCTGCTTTTCCTGCAAAGTATATTTTGCAGACCCAGGCTGGCTTCTCCTTCTGTTCATGGTTCACCCAGTGCCGTGTGTGCTCAGTGCATCCTGTGCACGGGTCACTGTGCTGTGTGCGCTGGCCGGGGTGAGCATCATTCTTCGGGGAGAACCTTTCTGAAAACAAAGCTGCAATCCAAAAAGTTAAAACCATGCTACTTACTGTACTGAGGTAAAAATTAAAAGACCTAGGGGACTCTTCCAAAAGTTAAAACGTAAATAAATATCTTGGAACATTAATATACACCTGACGATGTCCTGAGTGAACACGCCCCACTTTAAAACAAAACAAAACATTACTATTATTCTAAAATATTAATTTAGGATTGTTATGCAAATATGTACTATTTAAATATTTATTGATGAATAACATGCATACAGCAATATAGGAACAAAATATTTATGGAATGCTTGATGAATTATTACTAAATAAATACACTTGTGTATGTAAGAATCAGATTTGCTCATGCCCTTGACACTTTCTCCTTCCCAAAGGTAACCAAGACCTTAAGAGCTAAGTGTAGATAAACTTTGTCATTTTCTACACGTGTTTTATTACAGAACATTAAAAACGTATACATAATACAAAAAAAGGATAACAGACCAGTCACCCAGATTTAACAGCTACTAGTCATGTGTCATTTTTGTTTCACCTATACTTCCAGCCATTCCCACCCCAATTTCATTATTTTTTAGCCTTTTTGGATAAAATGTATATTCATTGCAAGGTACAATGTGAACTGTGAATAGTAGAGAGATGGGGTTTCACCATGTTGACCATGCTAGTCTTGAACTCCTGTCCTCAGGTGATCCACCTGCTTCGGCTTCCCAAATTGCTGGGATTACAGGCATAAGCCAATATACTCAGCCTGAGAATTTTTTCATACTTCTAAGAAAGTACAAATCCATAGGGCACATGAGAATTGCAATGTCTATCTACAGTAAATACAGTTTGATAAATAAAATGAAAGGCAATTGACCTAAGGTGAAAAGAAAAACAAAAAACAATCAAAGCATGGGTACTATGTGTCATCTGTAAGAGCATTTGGTTAAGAATAACAAACAAACCAGTTTTATCGTTTTAATAGCCGAAATTGGCAAAATTTCTAGTTTTTCTTTCATAGGAATGCTCTTTGCAAGAAAAAATTTTCATATAGTGAGAGCAAAAATGGCAACCATTTGCAAGTAAATGTCTTATGAAATTAAGTAGCAGATATCAAGCTCATGACCTTCAGATAGTTACCCCAACTCAATCACTTACATAGCAAGTGCAGATAATTTTCATAGCTCCCTATTAAAATTATATTTGAATGCCCTTACAAATTGTGACTGTTTTTAAATAAAGTTGACCAACTAAAATTTTGTATATGACATATGATAAATTCCCCTTCAAGTCACCTTACATTTACTTAATTTTATTAGGCAGTGTCTGTCTACCACCCAATAATACTTGACGATTCTCCCTCCATTTGCACAGGCATCATAGCTGGGAAACGGATTCACAAGACCCAGGCTGTTCCCTACATATGTTTCCTCCTCCGACATCAGTTCATCAGTCAATCAAGCCATGTGAGAGTGGAGGCCTTGTATTCCCTATTATTCTTGGGCACTCTACTCCAAGTAGGAAAAGGCCAGGAGGTCCTGTTAAAGGATGCACTCAGAGCCTGGGCTCCCTAACATATGAGAGTGCTAACCAGCAGGTGTAGACTTTTCAGGAGTGAAGAATGAGGCAGGCATTCCAAAACTGGACCTTCATCACCTTTTGTTTCATCTCAAGACAATTCTGAGGGACTGTTTTGGAGCGTGTCTGGAAGGTGAACCTTGAAGAAGAGTGTGGGCTTTGATGTGACTCAGTTGAGATCTTTCATGGGGAGGCAGGAATTCAATGCCCAGAATCTGGGCTGGTGTCTTTGAGGTCAGTAGGTTGCGTCTTTGTATCCAAGTCCATTGTTACTAGGTTGGAGGCTGGAGATTCTAAATGGCTTCCAGACTATCTCTCTGATTCTCTTTGGGAGATGGGGTCTGAAAGACAATGTCAGTAGTTTTGGGAAATTCTAGAAAGTGTGCTTGGAAACGTGGGAAGAGCTCTTGCCTAGTGCCTAAATGCTCCATTTGCAGCTCTAGCCAAGTAGATACTTGGTAGGTATAGAGCCGGGTTTGCGTTTATATCAGCAAAACCTATGTCAGAGTTGAAGAAGTAGTCAGGAAAAAGCGTCTTGGTCGCAGGCCGGGGAACATCTTAAAAGCAAACTTCTAGCCTGCTGACTCTTGGCAATGAGTGTTGGATCCTGGCTAAAGTGCCTTGAATGCAGCATGAGGCCAATCCATGAATCCAACTTCTCATGGAGAAATGTTAATATTTTTTCAGTTTGAATCAATCAGGGTGAAACTACCATGCTATTGGTTTGCTTACTTTTTATTATTTCATGTAAAATCTAAGACAAAATACATTAAATGCTTATTGACATATGTATTTATTCTTCACCAGGCTGATAATATCTGCCTAATTTTAAACTTTCTTCCATTTTGTAGGTTTCAACTTATTCTATTGTAAGATACTGTTAAATCTAATAGAGGCATTGTCACTTTTACGTATAATTTTATTTTATTTCATATATTTCCTATTGGCTTTTTACATTTAAATTATGGAGCACTTCATCATATAAAAAACTTCAATTATATTTAAACAGTAAGTCTTTGGATTTTTTTGCCTTGTAATTTCCATATTACATAATAATGAGATAAACATTAATGTTTTCAGGGTACTTTAAATTTTAGATAATTACTCATTGTATTCATGTGAAATTTGTTTTTACTGCATGTGTGGGTTGGAGGACTGTTTTCACTTCTGATTCATCTTTACTCTTATCTCATCAGAGCTCATACCTCTTGTAGTTGGGGGATTGCAGTTTATAATTCCAATAAATGGGGCAAATTCAATAATAACATAATACAAATGAGTTTGAATGCAGGACAGGTCTTCAAAGCATACACAACATGGGCCTACATATGTACAACAATAATAATTTATAAGTTACTGTTTGGATGGAAAGTAAAAGTACAGAAAATTTGTTAAAGGAAATTAAAATGGAGATCATGTCTCAATAATCTCTGAGCAGACAAAATTAGTTAGGTCTCATAAGTGATCTCAACCTCGCTTGATTTGCAAATACAAACAAAACTTACATTATTTCTTGTAGCTGCATATTGAAAAAAGAGAAATGAAGCTCAACCAGTCAGAAGTAGCCAACAACCTTATATAAATAGAAACTGTCCAACAAGGTAAACAGACAAACAAAAAACAATAAAAAAAGTTGTGCTACCACCAAATGATTTCTTTGTTTCTACATTTTTCAAATAAATACTTGCTTCTTACACTGTCAATGAAGCACTCAATATCTTTCCGTCTGATATTTTATAATTTATCAAATGCTCTTACTCAAATAAACACTTTGCAATTTCATTGTGTCTCAAATTACTTTTTAGCAGAATAAACTAGGAATAAATATTACAAAAATATCTACGGAATATGGAAAAAACATAGAAAGTTTATGAAATATATGAATGTAGACATAAGCAAATAGACAATTTGTATCATATTCTTAGGCAGAAAAACTCAATATTATCAACATCAATTGTCCTTATAGTTATTTATAAATTCAATTTTGTTCCTATACTGATACCATTAAATATTGCAAGTACACGTTACTATAAAATGTTATATAGATGAAAACACAAACAAGAATAGACAAGAAAACTCTGAAAAAAAAAAAAAAAACCACTGGCAAGCCCTGTGTAAAATCTTGATTGATTAAAAAACTCATGGATCACTGAAACTAAAAATTCAGAAATAAACCAAAGTGTCTAAGAAAGTGTCATAGTGCATCTTGGCTGCTATACCAAAATAGCTTAGACTGGGTAAAGGATAAATAAGAGAAATGTATTTTTCACAGTTATGGAGTCTGGAAAGTGCAAGATCAAGGCAGCAGCAAATTTCGTATATGGTGAGAGCCCTATTCCCCATAGATGGTACCATCTCGCACATGGGACAAGGGCATTCCCTTCAACTTCCTTTGAAAGAGCACTGATTCCATTCATGAAGATGAAGAACTCTTGGCTTCACCACTTTCCCAAAGGCCTCACGCCTAAAATTATACACATGAATTTGAAAGGGGACATAAACATTCAGGCCATAGCAATAAAAACTACATGGGTGATGGCATCATTTATACATGAGGTGTAAAAATGTGATGTTCTTATCACAAAGGAAATAAATGATTTATTCTTCATGGCATATATCAAAATGAAGGTCCAATGAAAATATTTTTTATGAAGATAAATCTATATGGCAAAAAATTAAGTATTGATAAGTTTAACCCTACAGGTTGCATCAGGATTTTCAAGGTTTCCAGGGATGAGCAAGGCCCTGGAGTTTCCTCCTGTGACATTTTCCTGGAAGTTGCTCATGCTGTTATTCAATTTGAAAGTAGATAATATTGTTTGTTTCTCTTCCAATATTTACTAAATTCAAAATAATATAGGGCTCTTTACTCATAATTCTCAAACAATCATTCAGTCAGTGGGGCTCTGCTGAGGAAGAGCACAGACACATCCACACAAGTATAATGTTCCTCAAATAGAGGACTTCTCCTTGTGCTGGAGCCACCTATGTTGCACTCGATCAGAGGCTTTCCCAGGATAGCATTTCTCTGCAGCCCTACCTCAGTCTTAACCCTGAAAATCCCACTCAGAAGGCGACGGATGAACACCCACCCTAGCATTCTAATCTAATGGATCCTCTCTTAACAATCCCTTCCAGGGATCTGGGATCTTTCCTGGATTCGTCGGCCACACACACCTAGGCTCAAAAATTTGGACAGAAACTTTGATCCTCATTGGCCCTCCTGCCCTGTCCTACCAGCTTCTCTAGAAGTATGCTTCTCTAATTGCTCCTTAGAGACACTATCTAAGGGTATCAACCTGTGCCAATATAATTGATCTCATAAAGTGAGAAGGGAAATAGGCAAGAGTCCAGCTAGCCTAGAAGCAGTGTCTAGGGTTCCTTACCTGATTTATGTCTCTGATTTACCTAAATATTGACAAATACAGATTCACCTCTAGGCAGTAGAAAAACAGAAGGAGAAATCCCAGTTCGTAGAGGAAGAAGAAAATGCAATCAATGCTGTCTAGAGTCCCGCTTAAGCTCAGCCACAGGGTACTAAGTCTCTTCAGGAAAAAGCAATTGTTGTCCATCATCTGAAAAACTGTGGCCTGGAACCATGGGCACCGAGAGTGCACACTGCCCACTAGAGTTCCATGCCTACATCACGGAGAGATAGAATAGTCTCAAAGGATTCTTAAGAGTAATGTGGGGACCAAAAGGAGATGAATCCACAGCCTCTGCCTTACCGTCTGATCTAACTAATAGTATTTCCAGACCTTTCTGTGGGCTGCACCAGGGGTTGTTCAGAAAGAAAAAAAGTTGTTAATGTCCCACCGTTTCCCGTAGCTTCCGAGGTCTGTGTTGTTCATACCCCAGGTTCCAGGTTGTTCTCCCACTACTTCCACAGAATCAGTGTGTCTCATTCCGGTACCTATAATCTCATCTTTATTCTAGTCGCCCTCTACTTTTTTCTAGACACTTTATCTACTAGAGCCAGGTAAAATAGAGACAAGAATATTTACATAAAACTTAGCTGGAACTAAGTTGGAGTCCCATAACTGCTACTAGGCTGAGATGCAACTCAGAGGATACAAAAGCCAGGCTTGCCTAGAATTGCAGTTATGGGAAAGAAAGTCACATTTCACCCAGGAATTATTAGCACGAAATTCCAAGTTTGTGAAATAGATTCCTAGATGATTCCTAGATCCCCCAAACATTTCATCCTTATCTTGGAGGCAATCAGGAAGAGAAAATAAACCATACCTAATCAACAAATTATCTAACCAGCATGTGTGGAAAAGGAGGGAACATCATAGAGTTGGCTTGTTTTAGTACGTGTGGTGAAAAATGCCGCGAAGTCAGAGCTCAATTGGTCTCAAAAGCCTAAAAGATGACACAGATTAGCTTCACGGGACACATGGTATGGATGGTGTCGGCATACTGTTATGCTGAAGATGTCAAGAGTGGTGACTGATATCTCAAGAAGTGGGCCAAAAGTCCACTTCTGGTTACTCTGCTTGGTATGGTCTAGGAATTCTTCAACCATGAGACAAATAGGTCAACTTTCACCAGCAACCCCAAGTCTGGTTTGCAGTATTAGACTCTGCGTTAGACACAGATTTAGGTTCAATCTGCAGCTTGATTGTTGTCACTCTCTAGAAAACAAACCCTTACCATGGACTTCTAGATGAGTGATCCAGTTAGATCAGCATCTGAGATTGTCTCCAGTTTGCAGCCCAAAAGACATTCAGACAGTCTACAGTTTCCATTGTAGATAACCAAACAGATAGAATATGTGCCATTATCCCAAACCCTGAGTTCTGACCTTTGAGAGGAGCAACCACTCATGTCAGGTTCTGTATGGCTGGCACAGGTTAAACAGCCACAGCGGCCCAGTGGACATCATGAGGTTTCACCTTCCCTGACTCATCTATGAACCAGGACCAGTCATATAGGAAACACTCAGTAAATTGGGGGCCCCACAGAGACAGCATCTTTGCTTCAGAGGATAGAAGGAGGCATAAAATTTCAACCAGCTGGGGATGCTCTAGCCCTCTATGGGTGAAACTGAGTTTGTCAGGAGTTCTGCAGCAAGCTCTTAGCTGACTTTCAAATCAGTGTAACCAGTAGTGTGTCACTGAGTCCAAAAGCCCAAAGAACACCTCTGGGAGGAGGCTAGTCCTTTACTAGAGGCTCCAAATGCCAAAATCAAGATTTTCTTGACCTCAGGATGAATTGATCAATGCAAATCTCCCCAAATATTTTCACTAAACCTTAATTGGAAAGTAAGACTCCAGATTTTTTAACTCTCACTAAACATAAATATCTGATTTTTTCACCTGAGATCTATGTATGTGTGTTGGAGCATGCCTTTACCAATCAGCATAAAGTTACATCTCTCCTTGCGCCTCTACTTTCTACTTGTGCAGAGTTTAAAATGCAGAGGTGAGAGCTTAGGGTTTTCTGGGTCTTTTGCTAAGCATGTACCTGACCTTGAGCATCCCCAATTCCCCATTTCCTTCTTGATCCCAAAGACCGTTATCACAGTCTTAATTCCCAGCAGCTTTTCCTCCTAGAGCTTTTTGACATGATTATTCTTAGACCCAACTGATATCCTTCGTTCCTGGTAGACTGCGTAGCTCATTTCCATTTAAATGCTTTTAGAAATATTAAACTATGGATTTAAGATTTATCTGCTTTTTAAATTAAGTAATGCTGCTCTTAGCCTTCCACAGGACTTGAGGGTTATAAAAAAAAAGGAAGAAAATAATTATTTTATACCAATAGTATGAAAAAGAGACTGGGAATGACTATATTAATAGCAGACAAAATAGACTTAAAAACTTAAAAGAGACAATAAGACATTATATAGTCATAGATTGTCCATTTGGCAGGAAGATAGAAATAGTTTAAACCCATACCTAATAATAAAACATTGAGATATAGAAAGCATAACTTGACAGAATTAAAGGGGCAAAAAGGCAGTTCTAAAATAATAGTTGAAGATGTTAATACTCCACTCTGAGTAATGAATAGAAAAATGAGATAGATGATAAATTAGGAAATAGAGTTCTTGAATAACTCAATGAACCAAATTGATCTAACAGATATATACAATATACTCCATCCAACAAAAGAGACTACACACTCTTCTCAAATGCACATGGGGATTTCCCCACGATGGGCTGTGTAGTAGATCTCAAATTAAATCAATAACAGAAGAAACGTTAGAAAGTTTACAAAACTGTATAAATTAAACAACATACCCTTAAACAACAAATAAGTAAAGGAAGAAATCACAGAGGAAGTTGGAACATACTTACAGAGGAAGAAAAATGAAAACAAAACACATCAGAAGTTAAGGGAAACAGCAAAAAGAGTGCTAAGATGTAAAGTTTGCAGCTAAAATGCATTTAAAAAGAACAAAGATTTCAAATAAATAATAACTTTATCACCTAGTAAATTAGAAAAATAACACCAAATTAGATGCAAAGCAAAGAGAAAGAAGAAAATATTAAAGCTTTTAGCAGAGATAAATGCAATGGAGATTATACAAACCACAGAATTCCAAAAAACCAAAAGTTCATTCTCACTTCTTCAAAAAATTAACAATTGGCAAACTTTCAGCTACACACACAAAAAATTAACAGCATATTCACATACTAAAATGAGAAATGAAAGTGGGACATTACTACTAATTCAAAGAATTAAAATGTTTAAAAAACTGTACTGTGAACTATGATAGGATGATAAATTGGAAAACGTAGATAAAGTGGGCAGATTCCTAGGTATACAAGACTTGATTACAAAGAAATACAAAATCTGAATAGATACAAAACTACTAAGGAAATGGAATCAGTAATTAAAAGCCTCTTCATAAAGAAAAGCCCTTATTTTGTTGGCTTCACTAGTGATTTAGATCAAGCATTTATAGAACAAAAATCCTTTCCAAAGTCTACCAAAAGCCTGAAGAGAGCAGTTCCAAACTTATTCCATGAAGCCACCATTAGCTCATACCGAAGCCAGACAAAGATACTACAAAAACCCATAGACTAATATCCCTTATGAACACGGATGCAAAACTAGTCAGCAACATCCTAGCTAACTACATTCAACAGCATACTAGCAAGATTACAACCCATGACCAAGGGGAGTTTATTATTGGAATGAAAGGAAGTTTTAGCATATGGGTGGTTTCAGTGCAGTGGTGTTTACAAATAATTGATCACAACCAGTATAGATTTCTTTATTCTTTTTCCAGTCTCACTGGTTCACTTAGCTAGCCTTTCTTAACAAAAGTTTAAGCATATGAAAATTAATCAATGCATATGCCACATTGACAAACTTTTTAAAAAGTATTCTCTCATTAATACAGATAACGTATTTTACAAAATTCAAAATATTTTATAATAAAAACAATAAATTAGGAATAAAAGGAAACCAGCTTTGTAAAATTCACATATAAAAACCCACAGCAAACAACATATTCCAGAGGAAAAGATCAAAAGTGTTTCCTCTAAGCTCCGAAGACAGAGTGAATATCTGCTCTTGCTAGCCACTTTTATTCAACACTGTATTAGAAGTTTCATTCAGAGAAATTAAAAAAGACAATGAAATAAACTGCATCAAAGTGTGTACAGAAAATATATTCTTATATGTAGAAAATCTTTAAGATTCCACACAAAAAATATTACAACTAATAAATTCAGCTGAATAGTAGCATACAAAATCAACATACAAAAACAAACTGCATTTTATGTAGTAACATGAATAATCTGAGAAGAAAACTCTGAAAACAATTCAATTTACAATAGTATCAAAAGAATAAAGTAGTTAGGAAGTAACGAAGAAGTAAAATGCCAATTACTCTTGTGTAGATATTAAAAAATCAATTTTTAAGTTTATGGGGAATCTCAAAGATCTTTAAATTGCAAAAATAATTTTGAAAAAAATACCAAAGTTAGACAAGTCACACTTAATGATTTCAAGACTTACTACAAAATTCCAAAATAGCATGCTACAAAGAGACTAATGGAGTAATATAGAAGGCCCATATAAATAAACCCTCATATATAAGGTCAAATGATTTTTATGGGAAATGAACTGCCTTTACAACAATTAGTGCTGGGGAAATTGGGTGCCCACATGTAAAAGAGTGAAGCTGGGCCCTTAACTTCTACTATAAGAAAAAATTAACTAACTGGATCAAAGACCTAAATGTAAGAGCTAAAACTACAAAATTCTTAGTATAAAATGTAGGTAAAACACGTCATAAGGCTGGATTTGGCAGTGATTTCTTTTAACAGGACACCAAAAATGCAAGAAACAAAAGAAAAATAGATAAAGAGGACTCTATCCAGAATATACAAAGAACAATTCAGCAATAATAAACTACTTGTTTAAAATATGGGCAAAATACTTAAACAGATATTTCTCTAAAAATTATGTGAAGTGGCTTATAAGCCCATGAAAAGGTACTCAACAAAACCTTTTCATTTTCATTAGTAAAATGAAAATCTAACCCCAAATGACATATCACTTAATGCACATCAGCATAACTAGTACAAAAAGAAAAAAAAAACAGAAAATCACAAGTGTTGGTGAGGAAGTGGAGCAGTTAGAACCCTTGTACACTTGGTGGAAATGTAAAATGCTGCAGCTGCTATAAAACAACACCATAGTAACGAAATAATTTACACTCAAAATCACCGTATGATCCAGCAATTTCACATCTTGGTATGTTACAAAAGATGTGAAAGCGAAGACACAAAATAATACACGTACACCTAAGCTCATAGCAGCATGACTCACATCACTCAAAAGGTTTTTGAATTACCTGTGTTGTTTGAATTATCATCAATGAATAAATAGATAAAATGTGATTTATACATACAGTGGGATATTATTCAGTTATGAAAAATAAGGAAATTCTGACACATGGTACGTCATGCATGAACCTTAAGGACATTGTGCAAAGTGACTTGAGCCAGTCATAAAAGGACAAATACTGTATCATTCCACTTATGAGATAATTAGAGTAGTTAAATTCTGGAAACCCACGTAGAAGAGTGGTTCCTAGGAGCTGGAGGGGGAGTAACAGGGAGCTGTTATTTAATGTGTATTGAATTTTGGTTTGGAAGTTGAAAAAAGATCCTTATGAATGGGAATAATAGTTGCAAAACAATGTGAGTGTAGTTAATTTCTCTGAGCTGAACACTTAAAATAGTTAAGATGGTTAATTTTATGTATACTTTGCCAAAATGTAAAAAATATTTTTTAAATAAACAAAGTATAGCTATCTGCAATAGCATGAATTAATATCATAAATATAAAGTTGCCTAGAAGAAAGTAGATGTAAAAGTATACATATTATATAATTTCACTTATATAAAATCCAGAAAGTGAACACAACTGAGGTTCTGGCTTCCAGTAATAATGAAGTAGACTAGTTCGTTGAATAACTATTTCACAGATAACAATAATAAAGCTTAATAAAATACTATATTTTGCTATATAGAAAGGCACACTGTTTAGAAGACTGAATGAAGATTTTATCTATGCCACTGTGGAAGAGATAAGGATTGGGGTTTGAATCTATTCAAATTAACTCCCTCTTAAAATAATAATTTTCAAAGAAATACAACAGAATCCAGAGTCCCTGTAGTTCCTATCACACAATTTAAAAATTCATGAGATGTGTGAAGAAGCATGAAAGTGTAATCGATTCACAAGATAAAAAGCAGACAATAGAACCTATTCTCAAGATGTGCAAGATGCTGTAATCAGTAGATAAGATTTGAAAGAAGCTATGGTAAGTACGTTCATGTGGGTAAAAGAAAACAGTCTCATGACAAGTGAACAGAAGCGTAACTGTACACTTTCATGCGCGTCCGTGTGAAGAGACCACCAAACAGGCTGTGTGTGAGCAACATGGCTGTTTATTTCACCTGGGTGCACGCGGGCTGCGTCCGAAAAGAGAGTCAGCGAAGGGAGATAAGGGTGGAGCCGTTTTATAGGATTTGGGTAGGTAAAGGAAAATTACAGTCAAAGGGGGTTTGTTCTCTGGCGGGCAGGAGTGGGGGTCGCAAGATGCTCAGTGGGGGTGCTTTTTGAGCCAGGATGAGCCAGGAAAAGGACTCTCACAAGATAATGTCATCAGTTAAGGCAAGGACCGGCCATTTACACTTCTTTTGTGGTGGAATGTCATCAGTTAAGGTGGGGCAGGGCATATTCACTTATTTTGTGATTCTTCAGTTACTTCAGGCCATCTGGGCGTATACGTGCAAGTCACGGGGGATGCGATGGCTTGGCTTGGTCTCAGAGGCCTGACATACACTCCCAGTCTTTTGGTCACAGGGCTGTGGGACTGAGGAGGGAAATTAAAGAAAAATAAAATTAAAAAGAAAGAGAAATAAATTTTCTTGTATTGGGCTGACTTGTCCCAGAGGCTTCAACAGGCACAGCCCAGAACCAGGAATAGTCTTGATAATATTATCTAATGTGCTCTGGAGGCTCTCCCAACGCTCCCCCAACATCGGGAAAAGAAAAACAAATTTCCTTTTTTTACGGAATGAGTTTATAGATTCTTGTTCTCTGTAACTAGTGACTTCAAGTATTCTGTTTTATCTAAGAAGTACAATGTAAGTCATGAGAAGCCTGAGTAGGCTGAACTACAGCTGTTTGGGCACCATAGTGAGGGTTATAGGATAAGCCCATGCCCAGGGAAACCTAGAAAATGGACATGTGGGTTGCTTGGCAACGGTCATGTGCAATCCTGTCTGTCCTGCCTCTGTATCCCTGCTTTCACGCCACTGTAAACTTGCTTCAAGCTAGCCCACCACCTTTTGTGAAATGTGCATAAAAGTCAGGTTCTGTCTTTGTTCCGGGCCCAGTCTTTTTGATGTGAGTTAGCTTGTCCTCAGTTTCATGCGCGTCCGTGTGAAGAGACCACCAAACAGGCTTCGTGTAAGCAATAAAAGCTTTTAATCACCTGGGTGCAGGCAGGCTGAGTCCGAAAAGAGAGTCAGCAAACGTAGATAGGGATGGGGCCATTTTATAGGATTTGGGTAGGTAAAGGAAAAAGGGGGATTATTCTCTGGTGGGCAGGAGTGGGGGGGTCACAAGGTACTCAGTTGGGGAGCTTTTGAGCCAGGATGAGCCAGGAGAAGGAATTTCACAAGACAATGTCATCAGTTAAGGCAGGAACAGGCCATTTTCACTTCTTTTGTGGTGGAATGTCATCAGTTAAAACAAGAACCGGCCATCTGGATGTGTACGTGCAGGTCACAGAAGGTACGATGGCTTAGCTTAGGCTCAGAGGCCTGACACTGAGTGCACTCAATAAAAATTCTCCTGTTTCAACCCGGGGTCTCTCTCATCCTCCTGAATCCCGCAACGGGAGAATTCCAGCATGCACCAGGTTCACGGGACAGTGCGCGGTCACTGAAAGAAGAGTGGGGCGGGGAGGGTGGTGTGCGGCTGTGAGCACCTCTTGTGCTTGCTGGGAGATGTAGTCTTATAAAGACTCCCAGCCCTTTGGTCACAGGGCTGCAGCACCCCAATTCCAGCATACACCGGAATCAGAGACAGTGCGCGCTGGCAGAGGAAGAGGTAGAGCTGTGCGTGACTCGCTGGGCTTGATGGAAAATGTAATCTCATGAACACTCCTTAATGAACAGTGCGCCTCACTGGAGGAAAAGGCGGGGCTGTGCAGGCCTTGCTTTGCTTGCTGAGAGATGCTGTCTCATAAACACTCCCAGCCCTTTGGTCACAGGGCTGCAGGACTACATTCCCATCATGCACCGGGATCAGGGATAGTGCATGTGCCTGGGTGAAGAGACACAGTTTTGCGAGCCTCCTTTGGCTTCCTGGGAGATGTAGTTTCATAAAGACACCCAGACTTTTCATTACAGGGCAGCCGGACTACAATCCCAGTATGCACCAAGATCAAGGATAGTGCGCGTAACTGCAGAATGAGGCGGCATTGTGCACGCCTCGCTGGACTTGGTGGGATATGTATTCTCATAAACATACCCAACCCTTTGGTCATAGGGCGGGAAGACTACAATCCCAGCATGCACCTGGCTAAGAGACAGTGCCTGTCACTGGAGGAAGAGGCGGAAGACTACAATCCCAGCCAGCACCGGGCTCAGGGAAATTGTGCGTCAGTGGAGGAAGAGGCGGGGTTGTGTGCTACTCGCCAGGCTTGCTGGGAGTTGTATTCTCATAAAACCTCCCAGCCCTTTCATCACAGGGCTGAAGGACTACACTTCCAGCCCCAGCATGCACTGGGCTCAGGGACAGCGCGCGTCACTGGAGGAAGAGGGAGGGCTTTGCGCTTCTAGCTGTGATTTTTTGGGAGATGTAGTCTCATTAACGCTCCCAGCCCTTTGGTCACAGAGATCCAGGACTGCAATCCCAACATGCACCCAGCTCAGGGATAGTGCGCTAATCACTGCAGGAAGAGGCAGGGCTGTGTGCACCTCCTGGACGTACTGGGAGATGTATTCTCATAAACACTCCCATCCCTTTGGTCATAAGGCTGCAGGACTACAATCCTAGCATGCACCCAGCTCAGTGACAGTGCGCTAGTCTAAGGAGAAAGAGGCAGGGCAGTGTGCGCCTTGCTGGGCTTCCTGGGAGATGTAGTCCCATGGCGTCTCCCTGCCCTATGGTCACAGTGCTATAAGACTACAATCCCAGCATGCACGGGGCTCAGGGAGAGTCCACATCACTGCAGAAAGAGGGGCAGGTTGTGCGCACCTCGCTGCGTTTGCTGGGAGATGTTGTTTCATAAAGACTCTCAGACCTTTTGTCACAGGGCTACAGGACTACAATCCCAGGATGCATCGGGATCAAAGCAGTATGCGACACGGGGAAAAGATGCGGAGCTGTGTGCGTCTCCCTAGGTCTTCTGGGAGATGTGGTCTCTTGGCCCTTTGGTCACAGGGCTGCAGGACTACAATGCCAGCATGCAGCGGGTTCATGGACAGTGTGTATCACTGGAGGAAGACGTGGAGCTGTGCGTGCCTCGCTGGGCTTGCAGGGAGATGCAGTCTCATAACTACCCCAGTCGTTTGGTCGCAGGGCTGCAGCAGTACAATTTCAGCATATCTCTGGCTCAGGGAGAGTGCACTAGTCACTGAAGGAAGAGGTAGGTCTGTGCGCACCTCTCTGGGCTTGCTGGGAGAGGTAGTCTCATAAACACTACCAGCCCTTTCATCACATCGCTGTAGGACTACAATTCCAGCATGCACGGGGCGCCGGGGCAGTCCGCCTCACTGGAGGAAGAGAAAGGCGTGTGAGCGCCTTGCTGGGCTTTCTGGGAGATGTTGTCTCTTTATTTCTCCCAGCCCTTTGGTCACAGGGCTTCAAGACTACAATCCCAGCATGCATCCTGCTCAGGGACAACGCGCGTCACTGTAGGAAGAGGTGGACCTGTGCTGTTCTCGCTATGCTTTTTGGGATACGTATTCTCGTAAACACTCCCAGCCCTTTGGTCACTGGGCTGCATCACTACAATCCCAGCATACATCGGGATCAGGGAGAGTGCGCTAATCAGTGGAGAAAGGGGCCAGGCTCTGCACACCTCGCTGGTCTTGCTGGGAGATGCAGTCTCATAAACACTCCCAGCCCTTTGGTCACTGGGCTGCAGCGCTACAATCCTAGCATGGACCGGGCGCAGGGAATGTGCGCGTCACTGGAGGAAGAGGCAGGGTTGTGCAAGCCTCTCTGGGCTTGGTGGGAGTTGCAGTCTCATAAACACTCCCAGACCTCTCATCACCGGGCTGCAGGACTACAATCCCAGCATGCACCCGGCTCAGGGAGAGTGCGCATTACTGGAGGAAAAGTCTAGGCTGTGGATGCCTCCTTCTGCTTGCTGGGAGATGTAGTTTCATAAAGACTCCCAGAACTTGTGTCACAGGGCTGCAGGACTACCATCCCATTATGCACTGGGGTTAGGGACACGGCCCGTCAGTGGAGAAAGAGGCGGGGCTGTGTGCGTCTCCTTCGGCTTGCTGGGAGATGTATTCTTATAAACACTCCCAGCCCTTTGGTCAAAGGGCTACAGGACTACAATCCCAGCATGTGCCAGTCTCGGGGGCGAGGTACAGGCCTGGAAGAAGGGGCAGAGTGGTACACGCCCCACCTAATATGCTGGGAGCTGTAGTCTGTTAACTGCTCTCAGCCTGTTTGTCGGTAGGCTTCAGAACTATAATCACAGCATGTACCGGGACCCGGGGTGCATAGCCCTGGAGGGAGGGGCAGAGCGGTGTGGACTTCCCGGTGTACAAAGCACTGCTGAGTTCTTATGCTATGCCGACTCTTTGCCAAGGAGAATGAGTACATAGGTGGACCTAGAGGACAGGTCTGCGCTGAGCATTGAGGAGGGTATTACCCTACATAGGCACCTTACCTTTGCCCAAATCGGGCGGGTTGTCCTCAACTGATTGGCCCTATCCTTCTCAAGTTCCTCTTTCAGCTGCACCCAGGGTTCTTTCCAGAGCATTGCGCCTTCTGCAGCCCAGGGCGCTGCCTTCTTTCCTAAACTGCTGTGGAAACTGTCCTGATGTCTGAGACACTGTCCATTGTGCCGCAGCCCTCTTTTTTCTCTAGCCAAGCCTCATGCTCAACAGCTTTTGAGAGAAATCTTCCACGTGGCCTGCTTATGAACAGCTTCAGAATTCTGTAGGGGGTGACAAGGTCTGTGGCTTCCTGGAAATGTCACTCTCAATGGCGCCTTTTTCACGAATGTGAAAGTTGAGGCATCAGGAAGGTTAATTATTGGGTTGCACAAAATCTGCTAAGAGCAAAGGAGAAAACCTCATTTCCGAGGCATGAGTCTTGTGAGCCATTTTCATCAACCCATTTAAGTGGACAAGCTCCAAAATGAAACCTGAAGCTGCTGACTATTTAGGCATTTTACACTTGAAATCATCGGTCTCATCTCAAGTCACTCCTGACTTGCCAGTGTCTCAGAAACACAAATGGGACCGGATCCCTCAGGAGCAGATAGTGTTCCAGCTTTGTTGGAGCGACATTTAAGATGTGGAGCACTTGGGGTCGTTTGAAACCCGCTATCTTCAGTAGGGACTTTTACTTCTAGAGAACATGTGCATTTTGATTTTATCTGTCCTCAAACTGAACTTTTGCTCATTTTAATAGTAAAAACACATTCCTAGGTGGAGACTTAAGATGCTAATGAGACATGCAATGTATGCACAAATATGTACAGTTAGTGCACATGTGCACCCAGAAGACCACTCAAAACATGCTTACACTAACACTTCTTTCCACCTTCTTATGAATAATCGTGCAAAACCCCCAGAAGGAGGGTTTCTCCAGTAACAATTAATGGTGTCTCACTCTTATGAGCAGCCTGCCCTGGAATCTCTTTCTCAGAATGTACCGTCTATTCTGCACTTAATTTTCAAAGTAGTCTTTTCTTTTTTTGTGTGCAATAAATTACTCTATGCTGTACTTCTTTTGCTGTGTGTTTCTTGTTTAAATTCTTTTAAACTAAGAAAATAAGAATCAAGGTATTACATCAGCCATCAACATTTCTTTTGCCATGGCCTGGAGAGAGGTCTGTCCGCTTCACTGATTTCACTTTCCCTTTACTTGCCGTGAATACTGTGGCACTTCCAGACTACCTGGTTAACTATCGCTGGTTCTTCCAGCACTGTTTCACTAAAGTTCTGGGGAAACCCTGTCCCTTTAGGCTTTATGCATTTCCCAGCTCCTTGAAATTGTTCTTCAACAGGCTTTCTTTGCTGAACAAAAGATGCACAGTCATGGATATGCCCAGTCATAGGGATTGAATCTGAGCATTGCAGGTGTTATAATTGGGCATCATAAATGGCAAACCACTGAATTAGGGAAAGGCTTGTCAGCCAGACATCTGCTCCCCAGCGAGCAGTGGGGGTCATCTCGGCAGGGCTGGAGATGTCCAGCGCTGGTGAGAGCTAGGACGGTGCATGGCAAATGCCTGTGACCTCCTAGAGCTTCAGTTAATGGGGTTTCAAGGGGATGAGTTGGACAACTTGGTGGTTCCACTTGGCTCATGGGGCTGCCCACAGCCTCCTGGACTTTAGTACATGTTCTGTCGTTTGCAGGATTCTCTTGGCACCATGGGAATCACTTCCTCTACTGTCACTGAAACACACCTGGGATGTATATTTAAAAATTGAAACAGCTTTTGGCTAAATGAAGCAAAAAAACAATTATCTTCTTTTGTAAAACTATTTAGCCTGCATACAGATTAGCTGACAAAACATGGCTGGAGAATGAGACTGTGAAATTTAACACCATCATACAGCTAGATCTTTTCTGTAGTAATCAGGGAAAATGGTCTGAAATATCCTATGTGCAAGACTTTCTGGCCCGACAACAAAACCCAGCTCTATGCAGCACCTGTGGGCTAAAGCCTAGTAAGCCACAAAGCCCCTCAGAACCATTAGAAGATCATTTGTTTTATGGGCAAGGGACCCCAGACCCCACAGCCTAATACCAGCTCCAGATAGGGGCCCTCAGAGGCCTACACCTGCTTTAGAATCCCCAGCGTCCCCACACTATCAGAGTCTTCTGTAGAATCTAAGCTTGTTTCATCTCCTCCTTATGCTCCTCTATCAGCCTTTGCCAGTTACAATAGAGACCAGTCCAGCTGCAGTTACTCACAGTGGAGCTTCACACCATGCAGGGCCAGAGAATTTGATCCGCTTACAGAAAGTCTCAAATGGAGAGAGGACCATCAGAGTGCTTGTTCTCTTCCCAATAAATGATCTAATCCAATGTAAGCAACAGCTCTGATGGCTCTCAGACAACTTCAGCGCGTTTACTGAAGCCTTCCAGTCTCTAACTTTGACCACCATTCAACTTTACCATCCATAAATGGACCCAATGACTGCTGCCAACTCAGCTGCACAAAACTTTTTCTTATTTGCGAAAAATAGAAAAGACTTAAAACTTTTGCTGCTTTCACCATTTTAAAGCAGAATACTTTTGCAGCACAAATGTCACCATAAGGTGGATCCTTGGGAATCCAGTACAAACTATCTCAGAAAATCTCAGTGTGTCCCCAACAGGCAGCAGAGGGCCTCAATAGACTTCAACAACGTCTGGACTCCATGGCCACTGTATTCCAACAAAATCAAAGAGCCTGGGATCTTCTCCCAGCCAAGCAAAGAGGAACAGGTTTATATCTAAAAGAAGAATGCTGTTTTTTGAGATCAATCAGTCTGGTTTATTCCAAGAAAATATTAATAATATCATCACCCAGGCAGACAAAATTGAATCTCTAGGAACTTCCATGGGAACATGAAAGCGATGTCCATTGCCTGCCTTGCTCTCTTTAATAGTACCCGTCATTATTATATTTTCAACTTCTACTTTTGTTCCAATTTTGTTTAAAATGTTAACTGATTTCCTGCTATGTTGCTTGTGGCAGCTCCATGTTTGCATGATGGTTTGCAAGGCTTTCAATCTTTGGCTGCCAACATCTTCCCACTGGTTCCACGAACGACATGGTTTACACCCTGTTAGATCACACAGGAAGAAATTTTAAGGCCCAGGCTAGGCAGAAGTAACACCCACTCAGCAGGAAACAGCTCCAGAAAAAGTGGTCTAACCCCTCAACCTCCAATATGGTTATTGCCCTAAAATCTCTTAGGGGGAAATTGAGGCAGACTAGATAGTCCAGAAAATGACCATGATCTCGGCATACAGAAACCGTGGTGACTGTACAGCCAAAACAATAAGCCTTAGCATTCGCATTGTAATTGGGCTTATTCGAGCAAACCTATCCTTATTAAGGGCTTTCTGTTCTAGAGAGCATGTGTATTTTGATTTTACCTGCCCTCAAACTTAAATTTTGCTTATTTTAATAGCAAAAAATGCACCCTCTAGCCAGGCACGGTGGCTTATACCTCTACTCTCAGCACTTTGGGAGGCTGAGGAAGATGGATAACTTCAAACTAGAAGCTTGAGACTAGACTGGCCAACATAGAGAAACCCCGTCTAAATTAAAAATACAAAAATTAGCAGGGTATGATGGTGCATGCCTGTAATCCCAGATACTCAGGAGGCAGAGGCACGAGCATGGCTTGAACTCAGGAGGCAGAGGTTGCAGTGAGCAGAGATCACACCACTGCACCCCAGCCTGGGCAACACGGCGAGACTCTGTCTCAAACAAACAAACAAACAAACAAACAGAAGTACACTCCTGGGTGGAAATATAAGATGCTAACGAGACATGCAACATATGAACAAGCATGTACAGCTACTGCGCATATGCACCCAGAATACCACAGAGAACATGTTTACTAGCAACTCCTCTTCCCTCCTCCTTATTAATAATAATGTAAAACTGCCATAAAGGGGTTTCTCCAGCGACAGTCCACGCTGTCTCACTCTTATGAGCAGTCCGCCCTGGAATATCTCTCTCAGGGTGTACTGTATTCTGCACTTAACTTTCAAATATTTTCTTTTCCAATAAATTATGCTGTACTTTTTTTCTTTGTGTCTCTTGTTTAAATTCTTAAAATCTAGGAAGACAAGAACAGAGGTATCACATCAGTTGTCAACACAGCAATAAGTCAGCCTCCTTCTTGTAAGCATAGCCCATGCAGAAAAGGAGAGTCGCATCACCTAGGTGCTGGATCCAGAGGTATGTCACAATTTATCCCATGCACAAAGTTAAGGTCATTGAGGAGAGTCGTATTAAATAATTTCTGGGCCCAGGGATTTGTCACAACAGCTCCTATGAGAAGAGATCAGGCAGCATAATCACATAACCGGTGTGCTGGACACAGCGATAAGCCACCTTTCATCTGTGGGCATGACCCAGGCAAGAAAGAAGAGTCACGGCATTTAGGTGCTTGCTGCAGAGGTACGTAACAATCTCTCTTATGGGCAAAGCTCAGGTAAGAGAGAAGAGTCAAATATCCAAGGTGATTCATGTAGAAATTTGTCACAAGAGACTTTTTAGGCAGGGCCCATGTTGGATCTTCTTACCTTCCAGAAGTTAGGTACAGGGATATGTCAGAATACCCAAAATACACAGGGCTCAGTCAATAAAGAAGAGCCACATCACCCAGGTGCTGGGTCTAGACATATGTCACATCTCTTTTATGGGGAAAGCTCAGGTAAAAAAGGAAGGTCACATCAAATAGTTGATAGACCCAGAGATATGTCACTTTGCCTCCTGCTTGAAGTGTCTAGGCCAAAGACTCACATCACATTGGTGCTAGGCCTGTGTTCATATATAAACATTCAACCAGAGTTGAAATGGTGGCCCACATCTAAACTCAGCTCATAGGCAAGGGATGAGTCTCCTATCCTGACATAGTTAATTGTAATGATGTTGACTCTCATCCCTGGGCCTAATGCTACAAGTACGATCATGGGTCCCTACCATTAGGAAGGTCTCAAAGTTGATTACGACTCTCATGCATACTGTATAGGGCCATTGGGTAGTACACAGAGCGTGCTAACTGGGCCGAGCACACAGGTGAGATTGTCACACTCATATGCACACCCAGCCAACAGTAACTATTGTCATCCTCTCACGGGAACACAGGTCAGTCTGCAGAGGAATTGAGGCTGTCATGCGCAAATCCAGTCTGGTGTTGAGATGGTTACTCGTGGGCTTAGACCCAACACACAGGAGGTGTTGAATGTCATGCCTACCACTGAGACAGCTGTGGGATTGTTAATCTAATTCCTGGACCATTCTGCAGCTTCCATTGTGAAATTTCCCAGTGCCTAGCACCTAAGTGACTTGACGGGCTCGCATGGACCCAGCCCACAGATGGGATATTAACATATTGCTGGATCCAGCACATTGAGGATGTAACTCTATTCTCCTTCCTTGGCACTGCCCACAGTGAGCATTTTGACATATCGCTAGACCTTGCACCCGGAGATGTGAGTCTCCTCTTCTGCCTTGGCGCTGCCCTCAGGAAGCGTTGTTATATATAGCTTGGCCTCGCATCCAGGTTATGTGACTCTCCGGCTTGTGCACTGCCCATATGGGACACTGTGTTAATATTGCTGGGTCCACTACTCAGACGATGTAACCCAACAGCCTGGGCCCTGCCTTACAGGGGCATTGTGACATATCTCTGTGCTCATCAGCCAGGTGATGTGATTCTCTTCTCCTGCCTGGTCCCTTTACACAGAAGGGATTGTGACACGTTGCTGGGCTTAGCACCAAGTTGATGTTGCTGTGAATCTTCTGCCTGGATCGAGTTCACAGAAGGCATCGTGACATACCTCTGGGTGCATCACCTATTTGATGCAACTCTCCTCTCTTACCGGAGCATTGCCCATAAGAGAGATTGTGACATATCTCGGGGTGTAGCACCGGGATGATGTGACTCTTCTCCCTGCCTGGGTCATGCCCACAGAAGGAAGTGTGACTTATAACTGGGAACAGCACAGGGGTGATGTGATTCTTCTGCCTGGTCCCTACATACAAGAGTCATTGTCAAATGCCTCTGGGCCCATCATCTAGACTATGTCACTCTCTACTACTTCCTAGGGCCTGCTCACATAAGGATTGTGACATATTACATGCCCTACATCATGTGACTTTTCTCTCATTTCTGAGCTCCGTCTTGGAGATGAATGTGACACATAGCTAGGCCTAGCCCCTAGGTTCTGTAACTTCTCTTTTTTCAAAATCCTACCCACCAGGGGCATTGAAACATCTCTCTGGGCACTTCACTTAGGTAATGTTACCCTGTTGCCTGGAGCCTCCACTCAGGGGGTATTGTGACATATTGCTGGACACAGTACCTATGTGATATTACTCTCCTTTCTTGCCTGGGCCTTGTATACATTGTGTATTATAATATATGGCTGGGTTCAATGACTAGGTGTTGCAACTCTCATGCATAGGCCCTACCCACAGGGACATTATGACATTTCTTTAGCTCTGACTCCCCTCTTTTTCCTTAGCCCTGCCAAAAAGGGAGGTGGTGACATATAACTGGACCTAGCAACCAGCTAATATGAGTCTCCTCTTTTGCCTGCACCCAGCATATTTTAGGTGTTGTATCATATCCTTTGTCTCAACACCTGCAGGATGAAATGCTCCTGCCTGAGCCCAGCCATCTGTCAAAATTGTCATTCTCCCACACGAACATGGACCATAATTGAGGTTCTGAAACTCACACCCAGAGGCAGTCAAAAGTTGGAAAATTGGCTCTAATAAGTGGATGTTGTCCTTAAGTGGGTTTGTGACTCCCTGACCAAGATCCAAAACACTTGTGAGGCTGTGAGTCCACTAAGATAACTCAGTTTTCAAAAGGGATTAAGGCTCTCATGGAAAAAACCCATTCCTCCATTGAGATTGTGACTTATGCACATAGATGCAACATACAGGAGGCGTTCACTCTCATACCCAGAACCGGAACTTATGTGGGATTGTTAATCTCACCCATGGACCTTCCTGCAGGTGTGATTCTGACGTACACCTCTAGCCAGCACCTGAGTGATTTGACATTTTTGCCTGGGTGTAGCCCACAGATGAGATTATGATATATCTCTGAATCCAGCATCTAATTAATATGCTTCTATTCTCCTGTCTTGGCACTGCCCATAATGGGTATCCTGACCTAACACTGGTCCTGGCACTTTGTTATGTGACTCTGTCCTGTGCTTTGCCCACATGAGCCATTGTGACATATTGCTGGGTCCAACACCCAGGTGATGTAACTCTTGTCTAGACTTTGCCTACAGGGGGCATTGTGACATATCTCTACACTGACCACCCAGGTGATGGGACTCACTTCTCCTGACTGCTACCTGTTTATAGCAGGGATTGTTACAAATCGTTGAGGGAAGACTCTAGGTAATGTGACTGTCTTTTTACTGAGCGCTACCCACAGGAGCCATTGCAAAATATCTGTGGGTCTCTCACCTAAATGTAGTGACTCTTTGCCTGGGCTCATTTCTCAGGGGTATTGTGACATATGGATGACCTCAGCACCGAGGTGAACTGAGTTTCTTCTACTGTAGGGCTCTGACCAAAGAGAGATTACAATGTATCACCGGGCCCAGCACCTGAGCTATTTGACTCTCCGCTCTTGGCTGCGCCCTACATTTATTGTGTATTGTGACATATCACTGGTCCAACACGTAGGTAATGTGACTCACCTGCATGGGCCATTTCACCATGGGTACTATGAAGTATCTTTTTGTTCATCACTTAGGTGATGCAACTCTCCTCTTTGCCTTGGGCCCCACATAATTTAGCTATTGTGATGTATCACTGGGCCAATCACCTAGTCAATAGGAAGCTTCTGCCAAGACCCTGACTACTGAGGGCCTTGTGACATAGCTCTGCATTTATCACCTAGAAAATATGATCCCCCCCCATTTCTGCCTGAACCCTGCTCAAAAGAAAAATTGTAGCATATTTCTGGGCCCAGCAAACAGGTGATGTGTTTCACCTGCCTGTGCTTAGTTCACAGGAAAATTGTGACATATCACTGGGCCCAGAACCCAGGTGAGGTGACTCTGCTGCATGTGTCGTGCTTTCAGGAGGGAACAAGAACATATCCCTGGCAGAACTCTTAGGGATGTGACTCTCTTGCCTTGTCCCTGTCCTCAGGGAAGACTGCAACATGTCCCTGACACAGACCCAGGTGATGAGACTCTCCTGCTTCTGACTACTCAAATGTGAGATTGTCACATATATTTTGGCCTAGCATGTAGGTGTGATGATGACATTCATACCTTAAACCAACCAATAGCAGAGATACTTTCTCTCACAGCCAGGCTTAACAAAACTTGCAAAATTATGGGTCTTCTCTTACTATGAAGGTCAGAGAAAGTAAGCACTCTTGCATATCCTGTAAAGCACTCAGATGGTACAGTGTCATCACAGGGCCCAGAACACAGGTGAGATTGTGTTCTCTGTGTGCACACCCACCAGTCATCAGAATTATCATTCCTACACAGGAACAGAGGTGATTAGGGAGGTCTAAGTCTCATACCTGAGTGCCGTCCACAGCGGGAATTGTAACTATCACATGTGAACATCCAGTCACAGTGGGGATAGTGACTTATTTCTGAACCCAGTTTACAGCCAAGTAAAGATCCTCTTATCTGGATCCAGCCAGCTGGAGAGATGTTGACTCTCATACCTGGACTTATGGCCACAGGTATGATCATAGGTTCATATCAGCATGAAGACCTCAGAGTGGATTATGTTTAATGCATACTCTACAAGGCCCACAGGAGGTACATAGTGTCCTAACAGGGCCCAGCAAACAGGTGAGATTCTAACACTCATGCACACTCTGGTGACAATAAAAGTTACCATCCTCAAAAATGGGCACAACCGGCGTGGCTCAGTGGCTCACGCCTGTAATCGCAGCACTTTGGGAAGCCGAGGCGGACAGATCATGAGATCAGGAGATCAAGACCATCCTGGCCAACATGGTGAAACCACGTCTCTCTACTATTTATGATTATGATTATGATTATGATTATTTTGAGACAGAGTCTTGCTCTGTCACCCAGACTGGAGTGCAGTGGCACCATCTAGGCTTACTGCAACATCCGCCTCCCGGGTTCAAACAATTCTCTTGTTTCAGCTTCCCGAGTAGCAGGGACTACAGTCTCATGCCACCATTCCCAGCTAATTTTTGTATTTTTAGTGGAGACGGGGCTTCACCATATTGATTAGGCTGGTCTCAAACTCCTGACCTCAGGTGATCCACCCACCTCGACCTCCCAAAGTGCTGGGATTACAGGCATGGGACACTGTGCCTGGCCACCCCATCTCTACTAAAAATACAAAAATTAGCTGAGCGTCGTGGCACGTACCTGCAATCCAAGCTACTCGGGAAGCTGAGGCAAGAGAGTTGCTTGAACCCAGGAGGCAGAGGTTGCAGAGGGCCGAGATCGCCCTACTGCATTCCAGCCTGGCGATAGAGTGAGACTCCGTCTCAAGGGACCAAAAGAAGAAAGAAAGAAAGAAAAAGAAAGAAAGAAAGAAAGAAAGAAAGAAAGAAAGAAAGAAAGAAAGGGAGAAAGAAAGAAAGAAAGAAAGGAAGGAAAGAAGGAAAGAAGGAAAAGAAAGAAAGAAAGAAAGAAAGAAAGAATGAAAGAAAGAAAGAAAGAAAGAAAAAGAAAGAAAGGAAAAGAAAGAATGAAAGAAGAAAGAAAGAGAAAGAAAGAAGAAAGAAGGAAGGAAGAAAGAAAGAAAGAAAAAGAAAGAAAGAGAAAGAAAGAGAAAAAGAAGAAAGAAGAAAGAAAGAAAGAAAGGAAGAAAGAAAGAAAGAAGAAAGAAAGAAAGAAAGAAAGAAAGAAGAAAGAAAGAAAGAAAGAAAGAAAGAAAGAAAGAAAGAAAGAAAGAAAGAGAGAAAGAAAAAGAAAGAAAGAGAAAATTGACTCTCATATATGGATCTTGTCCACAGGTAGGTGGGTGACTCTCAAACCAAAATTCATTACATCTGTGAGACTGTAACTCTCCTAAGGGGAGAAGTTCTTCTCAGCCAGAGAAGAGTCATTTATGAATTCAGTTCACTGTTGAGATTGGGACTGGTGTACCTAGGCCAAACATACAAATTCTCATACCTGGAATCCGGACATGTGTGGAGTTGTTCATCTCATCCCTATCGCTTTCTGCAGGTGGGATTGTGACATACATCTCTGCCCAGCTCCTGAGTGTTTTAGCTCTGTTTCCTGTGTCCAGCTCACAGATGGGATTCTGATATATCACTGAAGCCAGCACCTAGATGATGTGACTCTTATCTCCCGCCTTGGTGCTGCCCACAGGGGACATTGGGACATATCACTTGGCCTAGCACCTAGGTAATGTATGTTTTCTGTCTTGCATTAGTGCTACTCACAGGGGTGTTGTGATGTATTGCTGGGTCCCACATCCATGTTATGTGACTCTTCTGCCTGTGCCCAGTCCACAATGGCCATTTTGACATATTGTTGCATCCAAAACCTAGATGATTTACCTCTCCTTCCTGAGCTTTGCCTAAGGGGACATTGTGAAATATCTATGAGCCCATCACCCATGTGGTGTGATTTTCTTCTCCTGCCTAGTCCCTGCTTAAAGAAAGGATTGTGACATATCACTGTGCCCAGCACCTAGCTCATGTTACTCTTCTTTTGTTTTTTAGGATTTGTTTGGAAGGAGATTGTGATACATTGGTGGGTCCAACTTCTCGGTGACATTACTCTGTTGACTTTGCTCTGCAAGCAGAAAGCACTGTGACTCATTATTAGGCCCATCTCCTGCCTGAAGCCTGCCTACAGCAATTTGTAACATATGGCATTGGGACATATCTCTGAGCCCATCAACTATTTGACAAGATTCTCCTTTTTTAACAAAGGCTTTGCCCATAGGAGAGATTGTGACATAATTCTGAGCCCAGAAAATAAGGGATATTTCTTTTGTTTTCTGCTTGAGCCCCACATTGTGATGTATTTCTCCTCCCAACAACTGAGGGAAGGGAAAGTCCTGCCTGGGTCTTGCCTACAGGGAGCCTTGTGAAATCTTTCCGCGTTCATCACCTTAAATATGTGACCCTCATCTTCTGCCGTGGCCATGTTTACAGAAGGCAGAGTGGGTTATTCCTAGACCCAGCACACAGGTCATGTGATTCTGCATCCTGGTGTCTCCAGAGGGGTCATTTTGACATATCTCTAGACTCATCAACTAGATAATGTAATGCTCCTCTTCCCCCTGAAACCTATCCATAGTGGAGATTGTGAAATACAGCCTGGCACAGCACCTACATGATGGTACTCTCTTCTCATGCTTGGGTGCTGCCCACAGGGGTGATTGAGACTTATAGCTGGGTACAGTCTTCAGGTGATGTAACTCTCCTCTATTTTTGGGCCCACACACACAGGGCACTACCATATAGCTCTGCTCCTCAGACCTAGGTGATGTGACTCTGCTGTCTGTTACCTCCTCTTAGGGGGAATTGTGATATATTGCTGGGCCCAGAACCGAGGTGATGTGGCCTTTTCTCTTGCCTGGGCCCTGCATACATGGTGTACAGTAACATATATCTGGGTTGAACACATAGGTGATGTGACTCTTCTGCATAGGTCTTGCCAACAGGGGTATTATAACATACTCTTCTATTCATTGCCTAGGC
Source organism: Homo sapiens (assembly GCF_000001405.40). Taxonomy (NCBI): domain Eukaryota; kingdom Metazoa; phylum Chordata; class Mammalia; order Primates; family Hominidae; genus Homo; species Homo sapiens. The sequence continues at coordinate 287,736 of NW_021160026.1, forward strand.
GATGTGACTCTCCACTCTTATCTGGGCCCTTCCAAAAGAGGGGATTGTGACATATCACTGACCCTACCACCAAGGTAATGTGACTGTTCTCTTTTACCTGGGTTTGCATATTTTGGGTATTGTGACATATCCCTAGGCCCAACACTTAGGGAATAAAAGGTTTATTCCTCTACCTTACGTGCAGTGAAGCTTGTGACATATTTCTGCATTCATCACCAAGAAGATGTGACTCTTCTGCCTGCATCCTGACCACAGAGAGGATTGTGAAATATTGCTAGATCCAGCATGCAGGTGATGTGTCTCTGCTGCCTGGTTCCTAATGTGAGGAGTGGATTGCAACATACCAATGCCTGAACATTCAGATAATGTGACTGTTGCCTGGTCCCTGTCCTCAGGGAAGCGACATATCACTGGCCCAGCGTCCAACTGATTTTACTCTCCTGCTCTCTTCCTATATGCAGGTGTAATTGTGACATATAGCTTGGAACACAACACACAGGTGCAATGATGACATTCATATGTCAAACCAGCCAATAGAAGAGATACTGCTTCTCCTAGCTACACTTAGGGAAATGAAAAAAAACCCTGGGTCTCCTCACTAAGATCATCCACTCTCTCACATATTACAGAAAGCCCTCGGGTGGTAGAGAGTCTTATCACAGGGCCCAGCGCACAGGTGAAATTTGTTACTCCTATGCGCACCCTGAACCCTCCTGACCATTATGATTTTCACCCTCACATACAAACAGAACCCACTGGTGAGGTCCTGAATTTCACACATGAAAGCAGTTTATAGTTGGAATTGCGAATCTCATATGTAAAGATCTGGCCAGAGTTGGAATGGGAACTTTGTTATAAACCCAGCGCATAGAAAGCTGATGATTCTCTTATCTGGACCCCGCCAATTGTAAAGATGTTGACTCATATAGGCTTAGGGCCACAGGTTTGATCATGGGTCCATACCAGCATGAAAATCTCTGAAAGAATTGAGATTGTCATGCATACAACATAAAGCCGTCAGGTGCAACACAGAAAGTCCTAATAGGGCTCAGCACACAGTAATATAATGACATTGGGATGCACACCCAGCCAACATTAAAGATTGTCGTTCTTTCACATGATCATAGTTCACTTTTGAGGCTCTGAATCCCATACCCAAAGGCAGATTGACAAGTTGAAAAATTGACTCTCATATTTGAGAGTCACAGATGTGTTGATGACTCTCAGATCATGAGTCAGCACACCTAGGAAGCTGTGATTTCAATTAGGGGACAAAGTACGCAAGAGAAAATGGGGCTGCCATGCACAAATTTAGTCCACTATTGAGATAGTGACTTGTGTACTTAGATCAAACATACAGAAGGTGTTCACTCTCATGCGTAAAACCAGAATATGTGCGGGATTCATCCCATATCTGGACTTTCCTGCAGGTGTCATTGTGACAAGCATACACATTTGTCCACCACCTGAGTGATTAGACTCTTCTGTTTAAGCCCAGCTCACAAATAAAATTGGGACATATCTTTGGACCTGGAACATAGGTGATGTGGCTCTATTCTCTTGCCTTCGTGCTGCCCACAGGGAGCATTGTAACGTATCACTGAACTTAACACCTAGGAGATTAGAGGCTCCTGCCTGAACTCTGTCCACAGTGAGCCTTGTAGCATATTTCTGCTTCCAACACCAGATGATGTGAATCTCCTTTCTGCCTGCACCTTGCCCACAGGAAAGATTCTGACATATCATTGGGCCCAGTAATCAGTAATCAGGTGATGTTTCTCTCCTGCTATGGCCTTGCCCACAGGGAGTGTGGTGACATATCACTGAGCTCAATATTCAGGTGATTTGACTCTGCTGCTTGTACTCTGATTTCAGGAGGGGATTGTAACATATCCCCTGTGAGCACACAAGTGATGGGACTCCCCTCCTAGCCTCTGACCTCAGAAAACATTGTTACATATCCCTGGCCCAGCCTTAGGTATGTGACTCTCCTACCTGTTCCCTGCCATCAGGGAAGATATTGACAGATCTCAGGCCAAGCATCCTGGTGACGTGACTCTCCTGCTCACTCCCTACCCACAGGAGAGATTGAAACATATATCTTGGCCAGCTCACAGGTGTAATAATGACTCTCATACCTCAAACCTGCCACTAAGAGAAATGCTGTTTTTCATAGGGAGGCTTTGGAAAACCGGTAGGTCTTAACTCTTCCTTTTGTGTGAAGGTCTTAGAGGAATACAACTCTCTCATATTATATAAAGCTCTTAAATGGTACAAAGAGTGTTACCACAGGGATATGTTGCATAACCTAGGGGAGGGGCCCAGTTATATGTCACAATTAGCCCAGGGGGCAGGGCACAGGCATGAGAAGAATCTCACCACATATGTGCTGGCCTAAGTGATACATCATCATCCCCACTGTGGACAGGTCGCAGTAAGAACAGGAGAGTCACATCATTCTTATAATGGTCTCAGAGATACATCACAATGACTCCCCTGGGCAGAAACAAGGGATAAGAGTCACATCACCTGTGGGCTAGGCCCAGAGATGTCACTCTTACTTCTGTGGGCATGTCTCAGGCTGGAGAGGAGAATCACATTACCTAAGCACTGGATCAAGAAATACGTCACAATCTTTCTCATGGGCAAAGCCCAGGTAAGAGAATAGAGCCATATCAAATAGTTCATGGGCTCAGAGATATGTCACAATGCTCCCTGTGGGCAGGGTTCAGGTAGGACAATCACATTACCTTGGTGCTTGTTCAGCAATATATCCGAAAGCCTTCTGAGGGCAGAGCCAAGACAAAAGAGTAAAATCATTTTGGTGTTTTACAAATCGATATGTCACAATCTCCCCCGAGGGCAGAACCTGAAAAAAGGGAAGAGTCACATTAGCTAAATGCTGCGCCGGGTGATAAGTCACAATTCACCCTGTAGGCAGAGACTAGACAGAAGATAGAGTCACATCATCTAGTGGCTGGTGCAGAGATATGCCACCATGCCCTCTCTAGGCAGAGTTCAGACAGGAGAGTTATGTCACCTGTGTTTTGGACCCAGAAATATGTCACAAAAGCTCATGGACAGAGCACAGGAAAGACAGTCACATAACCTGAATATCAGCTTCAGTGGTATGACCCAATGCCTCCTGTGAGCGTTCCAAGGCAGGAGAGGAGACTCACATTACCTGTGTGCAAGGCCCAGTGATACGTCACACGGAGGAGTACCACTGTCTTGCATATTGTGTAAACTATGGTAGAGAAATTGTCACCACAGGGCTCGCCACACTGGTGAGATTATACTTCTCAGATGCACACCACACCAATATTCAGGATGGTCTCTATCACACGTGGAGAGAGCCCACTCTTGAGGTCCTGAATTACACATGCAGACACAGTCCACAACTGGGATTGTGACTTTCATATGTGAACATCCAGCCACAGGTGTGATGCTGACTCATTTTTAAACGCAGCTCATAGGCAGTTAAGAACTCTTATTTGGACCCATCCAAGTAGAAAGATGTTGACTGTCATACCAGGGCTTAAAGCTAAAGGCACAAGGAGGGGTCCGTGCCTGCTTAAGGTTTCAGGGAGAATTGTTACATTCATGCATACTCTATAAAGGCTTCATATGGTGAAGAGAGTGTCCTGACAGGGCCCAGAACAAAAGTAGATTGTGACACTCATATCTACGCTGAGCCAAGAGTAAAAATTGTCATCTTTTCACATGAACACAGCCCATTGTTGAGGTTCCAAATCTCACACCTGGAGGCGGTTGAGAGATGAATAATTGACTCTCATAAGTGGATGCGATCCATGTTTGAGTCAGTGACTCTAAAACCAACATTAAGCAAACACGTGAGGCTGTGACTCCATTAAGGGGCCACGGTCCTCGGGAAAGACTGAAGCTGCCATGCACAGATCCAGTGCACCATTGAGACTGTGACTTCTACACTTAGACCCAACAAACACAATGTGTTTGCTCTCACACCTAGATATGGGACATGTGCAGGATTGTCAGTCTCAGCCCTGGACTTTCCTGGAGGTATAACTGTGAAATATATCTCGGCCCAGCTCGTGAGTGACTTGACTCTTCTGCGTAGCCCAGCCCATGATAAAATTGTGACATTATTGAACCCAGCACCTATGACCCCCCTCTTCTGCCTGGGTCCTGTCAAAAAGAGAGATTGTAACAAATCACTGGGACAAGCACCCACATGATGTGACTCTCCTCTTTTCCCTGGGCCCTGCATATTTTGTATATTGTGACATACTGCTGGGCATAATACCTAGGGAATTGATGGCTACTGCCTGAGCCCTGTTCACAGGGGGCCTTGGGACATCTCTCTGCATTCACCACCTAAAAAAAGTGTGTGCACCCTGCCTACAAAGAAGATTGTAGCAGATCACTTGTCTTAGCAACCAAGTGATGCGAGTCTCCTGTCCTGCCTTGGTGCTGCTCACAGGGGACATTATAACATATACTTGGTGCTGCACCCATGTTTTGTAATTTTTCTGCCAGGGGTCTACCATATAAGCTATATTGCTGGGTCCAACACCCAGGTTATGCAGCTCTCCTTTCCGTGCTCTGCCTACAGGGGACATTGTGACTTATCTCTGCACCCATCACTCAGGTGATGTGACTTGCTTCTGCTGACTGATTCCTGTTCAAGTGGACATTGTGACATATCAATGGGGGCACCATCTAGCTGATGTAACTATTCTCTTCTGCCTAGGTTCTTCCTGCAGTGGAAATTGTGATGTATCACTGGGCTTAACATCAAAGTGACATTAATTTTTTGCCTTGGTTCTTCCCTCAGAAGACATTGTAATATATTGCTGGGCTCAGCACCAAAACGATGTGGATTTCCTGTCTGGACCCTGCATACAGGAGTCCCTGTGACATATCTCTTGACTCATCAACTATTTGATGTGACTCTCCTCTGTTCCCTGAGCTTTGCCTATAGGAAAGCATCAGCCTGGGCTCCAGAGTCAGCCACCCACCCCTGCACAGACAAGGAGAGGTCTCATTAAGCTTCAGCACAGTCTGGGACCATAGCTTTTTTTGTAACGATTTGTTCGGCATGAGGCCCACTCACAAGGGCCCTTCGTGACTGGACTCAAGGAAAACGAAAAGGCCTACTTGTTTTTGCGATTTTCTGTTGTTTTTCAATAACTATTTCTCAGAAACAGTGCTGGATGAATTCCACAAGGGGTTCACACAACCTGTTCCAGGGCTTAGTGACCATTGTTTCTGTCCATGTTCATTGAGTTCAAATTTAATATTTAACTTTTCCTCCTCATTCAGCCTCAATTTGACACTGAATCATAGGAAAATATTTTTACAGTTATACGGGGAAGGCACAACTGGTATAGATTACAGATAGAGCAGAGGAGAATTAAAAGCACAATTAATAGAAACCACACCCACCATGGCCAACGCCAATGCTAGTTTGACAGCCAGTCCATGATGGGGTCCTGATGGTTAGATTCTAACTGTTTTACTTGTCCTTGCATGTCTTCGGCAAGGAGAGTAATACTGCGAGAACTGTCAGGGATACACACAACATTCAGAATGCAGCAAGACTCAAACCCCTCCTTGGGCTGCGGTAAACATACCTAATGCCATTCGATTTTGCAACACAACAGTACACAGCTGAACAAGTTCTTCTGATAACAACAGAAGTCCAGTGCTACTATCTTAGGAGCTTTTACTATATATGGACTTAATATTTTAATTTGTTGCTGAAGCAGGATTGTACGAGGGGCAAGGGAGAATACTGTGATAGTTTTCCACCACCAGGGAGTCTGGCACGTTCATAACCAGCTACCTTTGTAAGCATCTAGATTATTGGGGAAGGGAATATTATCCCGGATGGTGAATGGAATTAATGGCACCCCCAAGTGAATCTCCCCATCCAATAGGGTCTGCATACCCAGAGGGCCCCCCAGGGGACAGCAATGGTTATACTACAATTATAGTGTATTAAGATGTTATTAAAGTAGCAAAGGAAGTCCAGGTTGGATTGCAAGTGTTGTTGTTTTGGCCCCATTTGTAGTGACAGAGCCATTCAGAAATATTGGCAAGGACAACTCTGCAAGGCAGTCCATTTCCTGTGGCCTCTGGCAATTTGATGCATAGCCAGCATTGACTGCGGTTGGCTTCTGTCGCAGTGGTTGCTGCCCAGTTGATGAATTCACTCTCCACCTCAGACCTGATGACCCAGGTACTGATTACTAGTAGACAGGTTATTCTCTGTAACAACAAAACTGAAGGGGAACATGATATTGTTTTTCATTTTTAGGAAACTGTACTACCCTTTTATTTTCTGCTCCCATAGCTACAAGGTCACCAGCCTTAGGGGCGGGATCTGATGGAGGCTGTATCCATATTTTCGCTCCAGGATTTAAGCTACCTATACCAGTGGATCTTAATTTCCCAGTTCTGTACGTAGCCTCTGTTGGGGCAGAGATTTCCTCAGGGGTTAATTGTTAACAAGGTACCAGGTACCACTGACAATTGAGCAACCTGAATCTGCAGTCCTGTAACAAAAGAATGTGGAGTGGTATTGTGTAAAGTGAACTTTAACTCTTCCTGGTAATCATTATCAATTATACCACCATACATTATAATGTGTCTCATCGCCAGGCTTGAATGTGTTGTAATCCATTCACCCACATTCAAGTTTGCATTTATGCTGGAAATTTTGGCCTGTTGATCTACCTGCTGTTTAGTCTGTCAAGAGAATGCAGAGATGCATGAGAATCAATATGAAAAACAGCAATAATAGTAATGTGCATCAGGATTCAGGTATCTTCCTAGTATTGTTTTCTCCAAACCTCTTTATTCATTATTCACCATTTGTTTCATTGCCATTCGGGCAACTAGGTAGTAAGACCATTTTCTGCTGACCAACAGTCGGTATACAAGCAACAAATTGCTCTGGCCTCCTCCTGAATAGTTCGGAGGATGGCTTCTAGTTCAGCCAGCTGGCTGCTCACACCCCTCCCTTCATCAGAAACGCTTATGTTTTTAACAGGATTATAAGCCACGGCCTCCCAGCATCAGGTCCCATCAATGTATTTGGTGGAACCATCAGTAACCAAGCGTGTTTCTGATCCTCTGGGCTTAGTTCTTTAAAGAATTTGCCCCATTGGGCAGGGGAGGTTTCCTTCCCTATATGCAGGACTTGCCCTGTGGTTTCCTGAGTTGGCAAGTTTTGCACATCTTCAAGTAAAAATGATACCGCTTTTAGTTCTGGCTTATCCTGGTCTTGTATGTACCATTTCCATTTTATGATACTACATTCTTGAGTGTACCCTATCCAATGGGTTTTGAGGGAGCTCATGACCCAAGTCATAATAGGAATTTGGGGCCTCATAAAAACATCATGATTAAAACAAAGGTGTTCTGCTTCCTTCAAGCGCAGTAGAAGGCCAACAGCTGCTTCTCAAAGAGTATAAGCTTTGCCAGCCTCTGGCAGCTTCTGGGTCTAAAACTCCAAAGGTATCTTCTTCCCATCTTGTTTCTACCTAAGGCTCCAATTAGCATGTTGATGTAGGACAGTTACTTGCAGTTCTGTTGACTCATCCTATAAGGGCCATAGATCCAGGGCCAGTTGCTCAGCTTGTTTTGCTTGTTGAAAAGCCAGGCTGTCTTTCTCTCTCCAGTGATATTCATAGTGTTTTCTAGTGACTGCATGCAGAGGTTGTAATATGTTACCCAAGGGGGGAATATGATGTCTCCAGAATCCAAACAAGCCAATACAATTTTGGACCTCCTTTTCAGTGGTAGGGCTGCAAATTCTAGTATTTTAGCGTTAGCCTTTGGTAAAATGGACTGTTTCCCTGCAGTCCATAGGATGCCAAGGAACTTTACACTTTGTGCAGGCCATTGAATTTTATTAGAGTTAACTTCCCATCCTTGAGATAGGATTTGGGTTTTTACCCTCTTCTGCCCTGAAAACTGACTAGTTATTCAGTTTTACCCTGACTGGGCAACTCGGACAGCTGCTTTTTCAGCAATAGGCTGATAGCTTTGAGCCTGATCAGTCAAGACAGGCCTGGCATGGTACCAGGGCCAGTCTGGAAGTCAGATTAAAATTTTCCTTTTCCAGCTTACATTTCTCTTGTAACAACCAGTCCCTATATTGACACTTTAACTTATAAGCAGTAAGCAAGCATCATCAATGCTGGGAAATTCCCTCAGCATTACAATTACCAACTGGGACTCCCTGCTGCACCTCACGCACAGCCAGTGATTCAAACAAACTTTATCCCACTTAAATGGCAATGCAGATATAATAAGCAAATATATAAGCAAGTTGCAATGGGATGGGGAGAAGGGAAAAGATATATATATATATTTAAACTCACCAAACTATGGAGGATTCACCACGAGACTGTGAAGCAACAGCCTGGGCTCCAGATTGGCCACTCATCCGTCCACAGACAACGTGAGATCTCATGAAGCTTTGGCGCAGTCTGGAACCCCAGCTCTTTTTGTAATGAGTTATTTGGCATGAAGTCCGGTCAGGAAGGCTATTCACAACGGGGCTCAAGGAACACAAAAAGGTCAACTTGTTTTTTTGATTGTCTATTGTTTTTCAATAACTAAGATATAGGAATAAATTGAAATAGAGATTTATCTGAAACAGCGCTAGATGAGGGCTTCAAGGGGCTCACACAACCTGTTCCGGGACTTGGTGACCATTGTTTGAGTCCATGTCCAATTGAGTTCAAATTTAATATTTACCTTTTACTCCAAAAAGTGTCAAAAGTAATTCCTTCAAATGCAGGAAATTATGTAGCTACTCACAAACTAAACTTCTCAAACAAAAGTCATAAATAGAGTACAGAGATAAAAAATAAAATAAAATCTAACTACATCTGTCTACAGGGGATTCAATTTATTTATTTATTTATTTATTTTAGAGACATGGTATTGCTTTGTTTCCCAGGCTGGTCTCAAACTTCTGGGCTCAAGTTAACCTCCCACCTCAATCTCCTAAAATGCTCGGATGACAGATATGAGCCATCTTACTATATAGTAACAAAAACAGACTAAAAGTGGCAAGATGCATCAAAACAATTTTATGCAAATCGTAATGAAATGAAGACAACGTCACGAGCACATTATGCAAAATACTTTTTAAATAACTGTCTTAGTTTATAAAATAAATTATAAGTTAAAACTGTCAAAGAAAACAAAGGACAAAATAATAAAAAAGTTTATTCACTGGAAACCTAGGAAAATTATATACATTTATATAATATACTTTTATATAATTGTGTGTATTTATCTAATTATGTATACAGACACACATATATATGAACCTCACATGAAGATTTTAAAATAAATCAATAATATTTTGTCAGAACATAAACAAAAAACTGCAATATACTGAGAACAATATTTTAATACACCAGTTCTGTAATTAATAATAAAGCCAGAGAGAATGTTAAGAAGAAAACAGAGGACATGAAAATACTGTAAAACAGTTAGATGTTACAGATGCATAGAGATCACTCTACACAACAACAAAACTCACAGTCTTGTCAAAAGCTCATAAAACATTGTCCTAAAAATAAATATAAGGAAAAAAATTTTTTAACAGAATTAAAAAAAATTGAATGTTACAGAAAACACTTCAAAAAATCAATCAACCCAGGAGCCGGTTTTTTGAAAAGATTAACAAAATAGATAGACCACTAGTAAGACAAATAAAGGAGAAAAGAGAGAAGAATCAAAGAGACGCAATAAAAAACGACAAAGGGGATATCACCACGAAACCCACAGAAATACAAACTACCATCAGAGAATACTATAAACACCTCTACGGAAATAAAGTGGAAAACCTAGAAGAAATTGATAAATTCCTGGAAACATCCACACCTCCAAGACTAAACGAGGAAGAAGTTGAATCTCTGAGTAGACCAATAGCAGGTTCTGAAATTGAGGCAATAATTAATAGCTTATGAACCAAAAAAAGTCCATGACCAGACGAATTCACAACGGAATTCTACCAGAGGTACAAAGAGGAGCTGCTACCATCCCTTCTGAAACTATTCGAATCAAGAGAAAAAGAGGGAATCTTCCTTAACTCATTTTATGAGGTCAGCATCATCCTGATACCAAAGCCTGGCAGAAGCACAACAAAAAAACAATATCCCTGATGAACATCAATGCAAACATCCTCAATAAAATGCTGACAAACCAAATCCAGCAGCACATCCAAAAGCTTACCCACCACGATCAATTCAGCTTCATCCCTGGGATGCAAGCCTGGTTCAACATATGCAAATCAATAAACATAATTCATCACATAAACAGAACCAATGACAAAAATCTCATGACTATCTCAATAGATGCAGAAAAGGCCTTCAACAAAACTCAACAGCCTTTCATGATAAAAACTCTAAATAAACTAGGTATTGATGGAACACATCTGAAAATAATAAGAGCTATTTATGACAAACCCACAGCCAATATCATGCAGAATGGGCAAAACCTGGAAGCATTCCCTTTGAAAACCAGCACAAGACAACGATGCCCTCTCTCACCACTCCCACTCAACATAGTATTGGAAGTTCTGGCCAGGGCCATCAGGCAAGAGAAAGAAATAAAGGACATTCGATTAGGAAAAAGAGGAAGCCAAATTGTCTCTGTTTGCAGATGACATGATTGTATATTTAGAAAACCCCATTGTCTCAGCCCAAAATCTCCTTAAATCTGATAAGCAACTTCAGCAAAGTCTCAGGATACAAAATAATGTGCAAAAATCACAAGTATTTCCATACACCAATAACAGATGAACAGAGAGCCAAATTATGAGTGAACTCCCACTCAACAATTGCTACAAAGAGAATAAAATACCTAGGAATCCAACTTACAAGGGATGTGAAGGACATTTTCAAGGAGAACTACAAACCACTGCTCCATGAAATAAAAGCGGACACAAACAAATGGAAGAACATTCCATGCTCCTGGAAAGGAAGAATCAATATCATGAAAATGACCATGCTGCCCAAGATAACTTACAGATTCAATGCTATCCCCATCAAGCTACCACTGACTTTCTTCACAGAATTGGAAAAAACTACTTTGAAGTTCACATGGAACCAAAAAACAGCCTGCATAGGCAAGAAAATCCTACACAAAAAGAGAAAAGCTGCAGGTATCACACTACCTGACTTCAATCTATACTACAGGTCTACAGTAACAAAAACAGCATGGTACTGGTACCAAAACAGATATATAGAGAAATGGAAAAAAACAGAGGCCTCAGAAATACCATCACACATCTACAACCATTGGATCTTCGACAAATGTGACAAAAACAAACAATGGGGAAAGGATTCCTTATTTAATAAATGTTGCTGGGAAAAATGGCGAGCCATATGCAGAAAACTGAAACTGGATTTCTTCCTTACACCCTATACATAAATTGACTCAAGATGGATTAAAGACTTAAATGTAAGACCCAAAACCATAAAAACCTAAGAGAAAACCTGGGCAATACCATTCAGGACATAGGCATGGGCAAAGACTTCATGACTAAAACACCAAAAACAATGGCAACAAAAGCCAAAATAGACAAATGAAATCTAATTAAACTTAAAAGCTTCTACACAGCAAACGAAACTATCATTAGAGTGAACAGGCAACCTACAGAATGGGAGAAAATTTTTGCAATCTACCCATCTGACAAAGGACTCACATCCAGAATCTACAAAGAATTTAAACAAATTTACAAGAAAAAAACGAGCAATCCCATCAAAAAGTGGGCAAAGGATATGAACAGACACTTCTCAAAAGAAGACATTTATGTAACCAACAGACATGAAAAATTGCTCATCATCACTGGTCATCAGAGAAATGCAAATGAAAACCACAATGAGATACCATCTTACGCTAGTTAGAATGGGGATCATTAAAATGTCAGGAAACAACAGATGCTGGAGAGGACGTGGAAAAACAAAAACGCTTTTACACTGTGGGTTGGAGTGTAAATTAGTTCAAACACTGTGGAAGACAGTGTGGTAATTCCTCAAGTATCTACAACCAGAAATACCATTTGACCCAGCAATCCCATTACTGGGTATATATCCAAAGGATTATGAATCATGCTACTATAAAAACACATGCACACGTATGTTTATTGTGGCACTGTTCAGAATAGCAAAGTCTTGGAACCAACCCAAATGTCCATCAATGATAGACTGGATTAAGAAATTGTGACACATATACCCCATGGAATACTACGCAG